>NC_000012.12:44126794-44278309 GCF_000001405.40 Homo sapiens
GGTTGGACATGCATGTAATTTACCTGTTATCTGCAGCTGTTAACATGCAAGCAGAAAGTTGATGCTTGACAGCATAAATAATTCTAGTGCAGGAACTTCAAAAAGGAGCCAGAAGAAAAAGAGAGCCATGTAGTTCTGTGTTGCAACAAAATTCATGGATTAAGGCACAGGTATGAACTCATGGAAACTGAGTTAAAATTTCAGAAATATTGCGAAATCCCACAGTTTAAATGATAAAATATTCAAGTATGAGTAAGTCTGTTGACTTCTCAATGATAATATTGATGAGAAGCACCATTTCTACTTGATGAGGTAGCTAGGGAAAGTGGAGGCAATTTTACAGGATTTCTGTGTTGAATTCTAAAATTAGGATCATAGAGATTTTAAAATATTGTGTCATATGTTGATAGGCATTGTATTTTTGGATGTAAAAACAACTGTATCTTTAAATGTAAATTATTAATATGATTTCTATGATAGTTTTATGTATCAATTTGGCTAGGCTGTAGTACCCAGTTGTTTAATCAAATACAAATCTAGGCGTTGTTTTGAAGGTATTTTGTAGATATAGTTGACATCTCCAATAAAATGACTAAGTAAGGCTGGTCACGGTGGCGCGTGCCTGTTACACCAGAACTTTGGGAGGCCGAGGGGAGCAAATCACCTGAGGTCAAGAGTTTGAGACCAGCCTGACCAACATGGAGAAACCCCATCTCTATTAAAAATACAAAATTAGCTGGGTTTGTTGGTGCATGCCTATAATCCCAGCTACTCGGGAGGCTGAGGCAGGAGAATTGCTTAAACATGGGAGGCTGAGGTTGTGATGAGCTGAGATCGTGCCATTGCACTCCAGCCTGGGCAACAAGAGCAAAACTCTGTCTCAAAAAAAAAAAGACTAAGTAAAATAGTTTCTTCTTGATAATGTGGGTGGGCCTTAGCCAATCCGTTGAAAGGCTGCAGAAGCAAAAATTGATGTTTCCCAGAGAAAGAAGAAATTCTTCCTGAATTTTTCAGTATCAGCTTCTTCCTAAGAAATTCCAGCCTGGTTGCCAGATCCACAGTTGCATAAGCCAGTTCCCTGAAATAAATCTCTATTTATGTGTATGCCAATGTCTGTCTGTCTGTCTATCTATCTGTCTATTTCATCATCTGCTGGTTCTGTTTCTCTGGAGAACTCTGACTGATACCATTTCCTAAATGGAAAGCCTTTTAAAGATATGAAATAAATAATATTAGGTAGATGTTGGGATACAGGTTTATGCTTCTAATGTTCCCATTTCAGTTCTCATTTCAAGCCTTGTTAAGGCTGTGCAAAGCCTGCTGGGACATATCCTCTGCCTCTCCAGCCTGCCTGCCTGCTGCACTGGGCATTCCAGCAGCAGCCCTGAGCTGCCCTCTCCGCTCCTCTCATGCCCTGCTGCTTCCAGCCTTCTCTTCCTTTGTCTGTCTGTTTTCTTCTACTTCAAACACTTTTGCCCTCCTCTGCCCTTCTCTGTAAAGCCTTCTCTTCTCTCTGCCCCCTTCTCTTCACACCAGAAGAATTAGGCTTCTCTCATCCCCACTTCCTCTCTCATGCACAACATTTTACACAGAGGGCTCTGTTGAATTGTTTGCAAGTCTTTTTTCATTTGCTAAATGGTAATGAGTATGTCTTATTCATCTTGGTATTCCCAGCACCTAGCACAGTTCCTGGCATCCAGGAGGTGTTCAATCAATATTGTTGAAAGAATGAATAAATAGCTGACCCTCTCCTTCAGGGATAAGCAGCTGCCTTTAAGTTCCATTGCAGATGGCTGGGAGGCATCCTAAGTGGCTTTTCTTTCAGGGCTGGGTATGCTCCTAAGCTTCTTGTTCCTGAGTTGCTTGAAGAGAAATTCCCAGGCAAACAGACCTTTAATTACCACCAAAGGCCTATGCTTTCAGTATTTGTGAGGGATTTTATGTATGCCCAGCAGATTTAAGCTGATTGTGTAGAAATATCTGGCATCATATATTGGTGGCATGAATGCTTTGCAAAATGAGTATAAATTTGGGCTGATATATTTTAACCTTTTAATTAATGTCTTGAAGTCTTACCTGCATTCATTAGCAAGGAATCCAATATCCCTTTTGAAGTTATACCCGCCCAGTCAACTTTAAACTTGATGCTTTGCCCAGTCCTATGTAGGGTCACTAGGGTCTGTGTTTTTCAAATACCAGCTATAGAAAAAGCTGTGCCATTCTGATTATTCTTCTACTTCATGTGTGTCTTACTGTTAGTGTGCTACATGGTGTCATTGTTGAAGCTTGCTCCTGCATAGTTCCACAGACTTCTGTCTACTCAGCATGAGTGTTGTCCCTGGCCCAGACCCTGCATGGGCCACAGCGCTGTTTCTAACCCCAGAATGGTGAGTTCAGAAGAGCTTCCATTAGTCATACTGGGGGCTGAAAACAGCTCTCCTACACATACCCTTTAGTGAGCAGCCCAAGTCAGCAGTGTGGCCATCCACTTTCCCCACAGTTTTTGTTTGGAGACGTCTCATCATTCTTCTGTAGCGCTGGGCCTGTCAGGTCTTTCACAAGAAGCCTGTGTGCTTCCCATCTTGGGGAGCAGATCTCCTCTTTTCCTCCCTGGTGATCAGCTCTGCATGTCAGTGTCTTGCAGAGCTTTACTAGAGTCACAGAAGTTTATTACACTCTTTCCCATTCCCCTTCCTCAGTAACTTTCTTATCTTAACCCAGAGAACTACCGGGAAATTACCAAAGTGATTCCTCATGGAACCCAGGGAACATTTGCTTCGAGGTGACTTCCTGCCTCCCTGTCTTGAAATAAATGAAGCAAATATAAATTTTTATGGGTCTTTCAAATGGCACTAGATTTAAGCTCTACCTTGTCATGCATTATGTATGTAAAAATGGTAGCCCTTTCATTCAGCTATACCATCACTTTCCCCTTAAGAGGTACCAAGAAGCTTAGTCAGTTAGAATGCAGAAAGATATTTAAACTGTAGCAACTTATGGAAGAAACTGAAACAATCTAGTTTCCAAATGTGAATTGTTCACATACTTTAAAATATAGGCTAAATTACATTATAGGCACTCATTACAATACTCTTCACTACATCATTAATTTTCAGCTTCATCGTTTATTATTTTTTTACCTTGCCCTTGTTCTGGCCAGGATATTTCACTAATTGCACAGCCTCGATCATATTTCAGGAATCTTCGTTCTTCTACTTCCTTTTGTGGCACCATCCGATCCAACATAAAAATAATTTTCTCCCAAAGCTATGTTGATCTTTTACTATCCCAGTGTTTCTCCCATAAAAAGAAAATAGTTACCATTCGTTGAAACTTTGTTATACTAATTGGTTCTTTATATTTTTGGTAATTTTTAAAATGTGGAAATAATCTACCTGCATAAATGTGAAGGCCGATTGCACACAGGTATATCTTAATTATTGTGGAGTAAATTGTTATAAAATATTATTAAGTGGACACTCATGTTGCTCATGTTATCATCACTGATGTCAATCAAAGGAGTATTGTCAGGATCCCAGAAGCTGCCCTCTGGCTGTCCTAGTGATAAACCTCTCCCTTCCCTCCAAAGTAATAACTATCTCATGTTTTAGGCCCTTTGCTTTCTTACTTTGCTAAATAGTTTTACCACTTATACAACTTCTCTAACACCATAGCTTAGTTTTGGCTATTTCTGAGTTTTATATATTTGTAATTATATAATGTTTTTGGTGAGGGGGTTTTGACTTCTTTTCTGTGACAGTTTCTGAGAACTATCCAGGCTTCAATTAGTACTAGTTTTCATTGTTGAACAGTCTCCATTGTAGGACTGTACTATAATATGCTCATCCATTCTTCTGGGCCTGGATTTTTCTTGTGGGAAAGTTTCTAAATATAGATAGAATTTTGTGAGTAGTTACAAATCTACTTTTTATTCCTATGTACATTTTGGTAATTTGTAAATGTTTTTTTTTCTAGAAACTTACTGATTTCACCTAAATTTTCATTTTTAGTTTGCATATCATTTAAAAAAAGAGCTGATTATTTGTTTAATCTCTGAAGAGTCTATAGCAATGCCCCTATTTCATTTCTGACATTGATTTCTGACATTGTGCTTTTTCTGTATATTTTTATCAGTCTTGCCAGGGACTGATTAATTTTACATCTTTTCATAGGACTAGCTGTGTTGGTCTATTGTATAATTCCTTTTTTCTTTACTGCTTATTTAATTGAAGTCTTTGAAAAACTTATATATTTCTCTCTTTGTGGTTAATTTTGCTGTTTCTTCTCTAATTCCTTGACAAGGATTTTTAATCATTCAGTTTTAGCATTTCTTATTTTCCAATATATTTATTCAAAATTAAAAGTTTAAGCATGGTGTTAGCTCTTTCTCACAGTGCTTTCATTATTATCCTGTTCAAAATATTTACTCTGCCTCATTGAGGTTTCTATTTTGACTCCTGTTATTTGGAAGTGTCTCTCTTAGTTTCCAATGATCTGGGAGTTCTCAAATTATATGTTACTGATGTATAGTTTAGTTATATTATGGACAAAGAATATCCTATGTATAATTTAGTCATTTTAATTTTTTTGAGACTTGTTTATGGCCCTGCTGATGATCAATATTTCTAAGTGTTCTCTGTTGCATTAAAAGAATGTGCATTCTGTAGTTGTGGGGTGAGTTTTTCTCTATATATCCATTAGGCAGAGTTTGCTCATCCTCTTATTTAAATCCTTTATATCCTTACTAGTTTTTGTCTGCTTGTTCCATTGATTATTGAGTAAAATATGTTATTTCACATTTTCTATGGGAATTTATTTTTCCTTAATGTTTTGCCAATTTATTTTAATTTATATATTTTGATAGCACACTGTATCTTCCTGATAAGTTGACCCTGTTATCATTAGTAAGAATCCGTCTTAATTTATAATAATACTATTCACCTTTAAAATTGATATTAATATAGCTATACCAAATTTTATGTTGTTGTTATTTGCATGTTATCTTTTCCCACTATTTTCAACCTTTATGTAGCCTTAGTTTTAGGTATTTTTATAGCAGCATATAATTGAATTTTTACTTTGCAGGTCTGAAAAATATCTTTATTCTGTTCTCACTTTTTCTGTTTTCTGCATTGTCTGTTTTGTTCCTTGTTTTTATTTCATTTTGAGCTTTTTATTTTCCTTGTTAGAGATTTTCTTCAAATATATGATAATACCTGAAGTCTATCCATACAGGCTGAGCGATAAAAAGATGACTGGGAAGTCTCTGTGCATGGATAGGCTTATTGATGGATAAGAATTAGGGAGACGGAGGCAGTGTAGGAATTTGGCCATTTCACTGGGAGACCCTCAATTGTTAATAAGCCTTTTTTAAGCGGGAGGGGCTGCTCAGGTTTTTTTTTTTTTTTTTAGATGAAACTTCTGTCTTTAACCTAGACAAATAACATTGTGGATGATGGGACTCATATGTGTATGTACGCACACACACACACCCTTTGTATTTTAAAGCTCCTTCTCATTAAGGTACCTCATTCCAGGCTTGAACTTCTTCATGTAGCAAATATCCCATCTAAGTTAGGTGGGGTGAAAGTCATTTCCAGGTTTCATTGCATCAGGGAAGATACCTGGTGGCCTAACAACTCATTGTGAAAGATTTCTACTGATCCTCCATTGGAGGATCATTTTTCTCTTTCATTCCTCTTCTCCCTTGCCTTCAGAAATCCTGAGCTTCTCATCCCTGAGCATTATTGGGATCCAGAGGTAGAGTTTAGCTTCCTTCTTATTACGTGCTCCAGAAAAAGTCAATACAACAAAGAAAGCTGAAACTATGACCATCCCCGTTCCTCAACCTGCTTTCTAAAATTGCATTAAAAATTTCTCATGTTCTGTCATTTCTTCTCCTACTCTGCAGTTTTTTTTAAATTCCTACATTGTCATTGTAGTAAATTTTGGAAGAGGGAAACATAATTTCTCACTCCACCAAGTTTATGTGTAATCTTACTTCTAGGGTGCTGTTTACATGTGGCACCAAAAGGCCTAAAAAATAACATCTAAGAGACAGTTGAAGCAGGGGTATCTAGTTCAAAGACACTGGGCAGATGTTGAAAAAGAAAGGATTATTGTGAATAAAGCACAGTGTATTTTACTCGTGGTCCCAACTACTTACACCTGAATCAGATGGTAAGAGCAAGTACAAGAACAAGTAAAAGTGAAAAGTGAGTTTTCCATAATATCTTTGGGAATTTGAGACTGCAGGGCATCAGTGTCCCTGTTGCTATTGGCTTATGGTAGCACAGGCATGGTACAATGATGTGGGTGTATTCGTTGACTGATTACAGACATTATAAGGGAGGCATCTGTTGTAATAACAGAATTTGCAAAGATGTCTGCATTGTCTTTGGCACAGACATGAGTACCTTGGTCTTGGTGCACATGTTGACAACATGAGTGGCAGTAGCAGGCTCTTTGGTGGGCATCAGTTGAGGAGAGGGTATCTCTGGAACCACTTTTGACATTGGAATCAACTAGCCTTCATGACAGTGAGTGGAACAAGAGGAAAATAGCACTGTAATAGCTAACAGTACTGGTTCCAACAGCGCAAAGGAAACTCTCAGAAAACTTACTGAGTTATTTGGAGGAACTCGATGGGTCTGAAATGTTCACAAGATGGGTGGAATTGTGGCTTTTCTTCTCTCCTCTCTTTTCCTTTTTCTTTTTGCTTTTTTGACCGTGGTCTGATAGCTGGTGTGGTGCAGCTTTTGAAACACACATTTCAAAAGCAGAGCGTGAAATTCTTGGTGGTTAAGTCAAGAGAAACTATATAATTAGTAAAATTATGAAACAAATTTATGGGGCAATGAGAACTAATTCACTTCTAATTTGAAGGGCATTTGATGATGATGAGGCTTTGTGAGGCTAAAGAGATGTCCCTTGGGCTTTAGAGCTCTTCGTGGAAGGTCCAAGTTCAGGTATGGCCAAGCACAAATGGGGAAAGTGCTTCATAATCCTTTCTCTGATATGCCACTTCTATATTATTGGCAAACTCAATTCCAGGGCCCCTCTCCCAAACTCCTGTGTTGCTCTCTCCAGCTCTATTCTATACTACTAAATGATGTCTGCTTAATATTATCTTCTTGTTACCTTTTTCTGACACTTTGTAAGAGACCTATAAAATACCTTTGGTCTTCAGAAATGCAGCCTCCACTCTCTCCAGGTTACACATTATCTGCCTTTATTTTATCTTTTCAACACTTTATATTTCAAAATCAGGCTCCCTTTATATTAGCTAGTTAAGTGATGTCAAATCTAGCTTTTCATCTATTCAGTCCACAGATATTCCCTCACTTATTGTGACTCAGTTGACACACTCACCGTTTGTCCCACATCTCTCAAAACGGAGACACATTGGTCTTTTGGGGTTTTTGTTTTTGTGTTTTTGAGACAGGTTATCACTCTGTTGCCCAGGCTTGAGTGCAGTGGTGCAATCAAGGCTTGCTCGCTGTAGCGTTGACCTCCTGGGCTCAAGCAATCCTCCTAGCTCAGTCTCTAAGTAGCTTGATCTACAGGTATGTGCCACCAAGCCTGGCTAATTTTTTGGTTTTGTAGAGATGTGGTGCACTATGTTTCCCAGGCTTAACAGATTGGTCTTAACTGGACCATATATCACATTTTTTAACTGGAGAGAGAGGGGAGTGCTATTCTAAATTTCAGGACACCTGTGAAATTTATATGCGGAAACAGTACATTAGATTTAAACAAAAGTTAAATTCCCCATTTCCTAGAGCAGTGCCACAAAGTGTGGGCACATCTGTTTATCTTCGTTCTAATTAGGAATAATTTGAGAACCAACCTCAGTCTACCAACTACACTGATGGCTTTTTTTGTATAGCCAATTTAGTGTCATTTATTTCTAAAAGGCTAGAAGAATGGTTGCACAGTTAAAATTGAACAAAATACTCAGAACCACAATTTTAGACTCTACCCTCTTTCCTGGGTGAATATTTACAATGCTTTTCATTGCAACGAATATAATCTCGGTGACGTTAGCTCAAGAACAAAGATAAGGTAGGGAACAGTGATTCTTAGGAAGCAACATGGATGTCCCATGGAATCCAAAGTGCTGGTATGCATGTCCCAGGAAGGCATTGGAATTAGACTGACACACCACCCATGTTTTTTCCTGTCTTCTCTCCTTTGCATATGTCAGCCAGCTTTCATCCTCTGCCTGCCCTCTCACTCTCTGCCACTCTCACTCTCTTTCCTTCTCTTGCTTTGTCTGCAGATTACAGGGGATAAAACTGTGGTCTCCAACAATCACTGGGTTATTTTCTCATATAACCTCCAGGAAAGATATTTCCTTCTTTCTCTCTTTTTGTATTGGTTCTAAATTACCAGAAAAGGAAACAATAGCAGAGTTGGGCATCATTGTATATGTCTCCATAAGCTTACCCCAATGGCAGGAATAAATTACTAGAAAACAGGCACTGAGTGATAATCCAAGATGGGACCACTAGCTCTGGGGTGCTATTTTCTTTCCCTTGAGAATTTATGAGTTTACAAGTATCAGGGTCATGGTCTAGCATGCAGTGAGACATCAGTAATTATTTGTTTAATGAATAAATGAATATAAATTAAGATAGGTGCTTATCCAATATAAATTTACATGCTGCAATAAGGTTCCTGGGTAAAAAGACAGTTCCCTTCTCCCTTCCCCATATCACTGGAGCCTAAAATTGTTTCAACAGGAATATGGAGTAAATCATTGGGAAATAGTGTTGAGTAGCTACAGGGAAGAGAAAAAGAGGTGGTTGAATTCATATCCAGAGGAAGATGGACGAAAAGAAGAAAGGGAAGAAGAAGGAGGAGGAGAGAGAAGAGAAAGAAAAGAAATTGTCACAATTGCTTTGAATTTGAAAATTTTGTAGGAAATACAAGAACAGTCTCATTTTTCAGGTTTCTTCATTTTATTATATACAGTGGACAAATTATAGTTCCTGGCAACTGTTAATTATTGTATTTATGTCCCATTGTTTTTATTCCATTATTTTGATCATTTGCAACCATGAACACTTGCCTCCACTGACACATACCCATTAAAATTGAACTTGGTTTTTGTTCTACTTTGAACAGCATCAAAATCTTTGCAAAACTTGTAAGTTATTTTATGCCCTTCTAATTAGTTTAGATAGAAGAATCATTATATAGGGTAAATTAATGAATGCCATTCTGGCTTAGCTTACAATTCCCTTTTACAATAATAAAAACTTATGGCAATGCATTGTATATATTTTACTTGAATAGTTCTAAACACTTAATTTTATTTAACATTAAAATGTGACTAAATTAATTATGAAATTACTTTCAGGTAATTTGTGACTCTCTGGATTCCTTTGGGGATTTATTGGGGTTCTCTTAGCAACAAGCTCAGGATTTTAAAGCTTGGTTATCTGTATCATTTTTCTAATAACTTTAGTGAAGATAAATGAAGTCTCTTTGTTGTATTTGTTTACTTCATTAGAGGTAGAAGACAGAACTATTCAGAGCATCAAATTAGATTGCATATTCCTGGAGTGTTTGGGAAGTTGATAAAAGAAAAGAATTAAACTATGAAAGAAACTTGGGATATAACCACACAAAATCTGGGACTTTAGAATTAGTTTTGAGGCTATATTGTTTTTTAACCTTATAGACCTTTATATTTTGACTTTAAAAGACACACAACAAATGTAGTTTTACAGTATCCATTTGAAGGGCAGTGGAATATATTTTGTTTCCTTTTTTTCATATGGATAAAATAAATGTGTTTTACTGTGTAGCTCTGGTATTGTTTGTGCCAGCAAATTGGTGCACTAAATCATGTATTGATAAGTAATCTCATTTAAAAAATACTTTAATATGATTAAGTAGATTTTCAATATTTTACTTTTTAAATTATTCAACTGACGTTCGAAGTAAGTAAATTTACAGCATGTGTTGCAGAAAGTCAAAGATATGTTCTTTATTTTGATTTATTTATATTCTAGCCTCTAGCTTTTTATTCCAGAAGAGGTAATAAAAATGATACAATAACGCTCTATTCTAACTTTGTTAGAGCATCATAATTACATGGCACACAATTTGTCTTTGATGTTTGCTTTTATTTTATCTTGTATTGCAAATCCTTGTTTTTACCTTTTATGCTTTTATACTCATCCTACTTTGGCCCTGATGTCAAATGATTTAAGTAATTTACTACTTAATTCATTTACTTATTTATTGCATTCCTAAAACATACTATACCCTGGGCCAAGAATTTCATTTGCCAAAAAAAAAAAAAAAAGATACATGTTTATTACCCTTGATGAAGCAAATCTTATGGGAGAGAAGGGCAATGTAAGAAAATCATTAAAATACTCTGGGAAAATGATTTAACATAGAGGTATAGTCAAAGTATTATGACAACACTAGGGAAGCGATAACTTTCAAAAGTAATGGCAGTAGGTTTCTCAGTGGACAGACTGAGTTAGTAATCTCAAGCCAGAAGACAGGGATTGGCATGGGACAATAAAGAGAGCATTCTGGGCAGCCATTATAAGTGTATTATGAAATGGTGGTATATTGGTGAGATTGATTTCCTAGTAGGAGGAGGGCCTGAAAGAAGGAGATTCTGAAATGTAAGGAGATGAGTCTAAAAATGAAGATGCCTTGCAGAGTGGAGGTTCTTCTTATCCATGTTGTCTTAGTCCATTTTCACGCTGCTGATAAAGACATACCTGATACTGGGAAGAAACAGAGGTTTAATGGACTTACAGTTCCACATGGCTGGGAGGCATCACAATCATGGTGGAAAGCAAGGAGGAGCAAGTCACATCTTACGTGGATGGCGGCCAGCAAAGAGAGAGTTTGTGCAGAGGAACTCCTCTATTTAAAACCATCAGATCTCATGAGACCCACTCACCATTGCGAGAAGAGCACAAGAAAGACCAGTCCCACTTATTCAACTACCTACCACTGGGTCCCTCCCACAACACGTGGGAATTGTGGAAGTTACAATCCAAGATGAGATTTGGGTAGGGACACAGCCAAACCATATCACATGCTTTACCCTGTGACATTGGGGACCACAATATTATTTTGAAAAATGGAAGCCAGTAGGCCAGAAGTTTACCTTTTTTTACATGCATATTATGAAATAGTTGTACTAGAAGCTTTGCATACTTTATATCATGTGTTCCCCAATAAACCCCTGGGAAGGAAAGGTATTTTTATTCCCACTATATAGATAAGGAAATGGATGATTATCAAAGTTGATCATTTGTCCCAAGTCATGGGGGTATGGGGTGGGTTGCAAGCTTAATCTTTTCTGGTTCCAGGACTTCTGCTTCTCCAGTATGCCCTGTTTCTTTGCTAGAAATCCCCATAGTGTCAATAAAGAATTTACTGTGGGTGGAAATAGTTACAATAGAATAGGAAATTATTACTTTAGTTTCAGATTAGAGATGATTATGGACAGAATTTAGACATTGATAGTGGTGATGACAGAAAAACAGCATAGATTTGAGAGCCTTTCAGAAGTAACATTAGTGATTAATCACTAATGTTGAGAGTAAAGGAAAGGGAGAAATTGATGTAATACTAATGTTTCTGTATACAGCACAAATGAATTTCACTGAATGGGCTGAAGTAAGGCAAGAAATGGAAGAAAGAATTGATGTATGCTGGATGTATTCACAGTGAGGGTGGGCTTGGTTAATGATACTCTGTCTCCCGTCTTCTTAGATATGTCTTCCTTATAGAACTTAGAGGGAATTAATGGCTAAAGTTAGGAAATTTGAGTTGGAATTTTATCAGTGACCATTGTTAGGTTCAGATGCAATTTTAATCATTACAGGCTACAGCTAACAATTGTCTGCAGCTTTTTTGTGACATTCCAGGGGATCTTGCCCCATAGCCTCAAACCATAGGTCTGGCCTGGAAGGTCCTTACACATGTATTGAGCTCCATCAAAGTATTTTAAATCAAGAACTAGAGATTTTGAGCAAATATACTAAAATGTGGTTATTTGGATAATAGTCGAGTAAGTGACTGGAGTCATTAATCTAGTTAATCATTTCACTACAAACACAAAATGATTGAGGAAAGGTTAATTTTAAAAATCTAGGTTTAGTTCCTGGCATTTTGTAGTGACAAATTTTCACTTTAATGCCTTAAGAATCCTTAGAGCTTTTGCTTTAGTTTTAGTGTGTTTAATGCAGACCTGTACTCATGCAAGTCAACTCCTCGCCCATGATTTACTTGTGTGTGAAGCCCCCAATCTTATTTATGTTGTCCAAACATGGCTGAGAGAGACAGCTGTGACATTATGAATCCAGCTGGCCACAGATGGTTTTTCAGTGAAGTATGGATCCATATTGGTTTGGTGATCTGTGTGTACTGCCTCCTGTTAAAATTCAGACTCAACCACTAAATCACCTGGCATTGACTGCAACCACTTATGTATGACTAATAGACTGAAGTGAACTGGAACTTTTGTTGCTAGTGATCAAGACCCTTACTGTAAGACCAATTCACTATATTATAGTTTTATTGACTATTTTGCTCATGTTAGAGTCTGTTTAGTTTAGTCATTTTGCAACAGGTTTTAATAGGCTTGGTATC
Source organism: Homo sapiens (assembly GCF_000001405.40). Taxonomy (NCBI): domain Eukaryota; kingdom Metazoa; phylum Chordata; class Mammalia; order Primates; family Hominidae; genus Homo; species Homo sapiens. The sequence continues at coordinate 44,139,431 of NC_000012.12, forward strand.
TCGTATTGTCAAGATGTTATGATAATTAGCCTTTTCCAGATCTTGTATATTGAAATCTCCACGTTTGTTATGGATTTGATGGTTAAGGTTTAAATCTCGAGGAAAAAATAATTGAAGTTAGAGGCTGAGAAAAAATTTATTTAGGATCTTAAAAGCCTATATCAATGATCAATAGTTACTTAGAAGGCTGGTAGAACTGCAAGATTTTCTAGATAGTGGAAAAAAGAAAACAAATAAAGCATAAAAGAAAACAAAGGATGTATGAGTTGTTAAAATAATCAGCTAATGCACCAAACAAAATAACTTTAATTGTGCCTCTTAGCAAATAAAGTTTAATTCTGAATTACTTGCCCAAATCAGTAGGTATATGAAACCTCACAATTTCACTTTTCTAGAGTCCAATGTGATATTCAAACTGGCTAAAATTGCTGATATAAATATATGCCTGTCTTGTTGTTTACAATCCAACCAGGAAATCTTGTTAAATGTTAATGGATATGCAAATGAATGAAATAGTAGCTGAAAATTTTTATGACAGGTCTGCATATTTGTAATTCTTCTTCATATTTATCCAAAGCAGCAAAAATAAGAATAATTACTGAATGACTAGTCTTTATATATTATTCTTCATTTTTAAGTATATTAGTTATTTCATAAGTTGTCAGTACTATCTCATCTGCATTGTTATAGCATCTAGCACTTATCATATGTCCACAGCCACAGGCAAGGATACTTTATTTTGTGCTGATATATTACTCTGGGTGAATACAGGACAGTTATCTTCCAGTCAGTCAAGAAGCTATAAATGTAGCTGGAGAGATAAAGTGAACACACAAAACAATTTTTAGAAGTTTTTAATATCTTCCTCCATGGAAAAGTTTTTCATGATTCAATCTCATTTTATTGCTGTTTCTAGGATTTAATGTATGGAGATCTACCCATGCCATATATAAATAAATATGAATGATTTGGGTCACTTTATTAAATCATAATTTAAACAAATATTTATTAATTCTCCACTGGAGAATCAACAGTAGACAAGATAGCCAAAATAGCTTCCTATTCTTCTGGACAGTTTTTTCTCTTGGTTTTCAGTGATAGGAGCTTGTTTCTTGACATCCTAGTAATTTTTGAATGATGGACAGATATTATGTATAAAAGTGTGTAGAGGATAAAACAAAATTTTATTTTTCCACAAAACATTTACTTTTTCCTTTGTTAAGTGGAGACAGTAGAAGCTGTTCACCACAATCTGGTCATCAAATGGCCTGGGTAAGGGCTGGTTTATACTTTCATCAAGGATTCATCCATCTCTGGTTTTCTGTAGCCCTCCAGAGGGCTGTATTCTCTTGGACCACATTCTCTAGCTGGTTCTGAACTCTAATAGAGTCCTCAATATAAGGAAGTTGCCAAACCTCCCTAATGCTCTTTAGAGATTTTACTTAGTCTTTTAGTCTCCTTCCTGTACAAGTTCAGAAAGGTTTGGCAAGTGTCTTGAAAGGCAACCAGCTGTGTGTCATGCTGTCTTCTGGGTTTCTCCTTCCTCACTAGGATCTTGGCTCCTTAAATTTCCAATGTTGTCTGTTCTTCACAGTTCTAACTTTCCACAGTTCTCTCTAATCTGGTATCTTGATTTTTCTAGTCTTCATTGCCTCAACAATTTTAATTTTTTGATTATTTAAACAGTGTTAACACTTTTGATTAACATATATTCAAATTGTATACACATGTACAGTAGCACCACTTCATTAAAACTCCTTTTGTCAGTAACCTCCATGATACCAAATTTGTGACATTTTTTGCATTTTTAAAAAACTTTTAAGTTCAGGAGTACATGTGCAGTTTTGCTATATAGATAATCTCGTGTCATGGGGGTTTGTTTTACAGATTGTTTCATCACTCAGGTATTAAGCCTAGTACCCATTAATCATTTTTCCTGATCCTCTCTCTCCTCCCACCCTTTTCCCTCTGAAAAGCCCCAGAGTGTGGTCGTGGTTTTGGTTTTTATTTTTTTAGTTATTAGCTGGATGATTGATCTGTTGCAAGTGTATCCAGCCGCCTGTCTCTATTTTTAGATAGTAAAATAAAAGAATGATACCTTCTCTTATACAAATGTATGCAATTACAGGGAATATACCCTAAAATTTCCACTCTACCCCAAGATATTCTAGAACTAATTGGAAAAGTGGACAGGTGGGGCATTGAACAAGTTCTTCAAATTAGGTATCATTGAAAGAACTGGGCAATTACCAGAGCTAATCCTTTATAGTAATGTTGAGTTCACTGACCAAGAGCTGTTCAGTGATTGTGGTACTGAATGGTGCTACACCAAGTTGTCCAAGTGAATAACTTGGGGGCTTTCAAGTGGACGCCACTTTGATTGGTGAATTCAACATGAATTGAAACTCAAGACTTGATGGTTGCTCTGGAGAGCTAAAGGTTCTGCATACTATTCTTGACTTCTTATTAGGATTTATCTTAAAGGGAAATAAGTTTTAATTTTTATCATCTACTAAGCTACTTGTGGACAGAGTAGATATTTGTTGTGTTTTATATCTTCACTAACACTTATAAGAAGAAGATGTTGCTTAGTGGTTAAATTTCTGCGTTTGTGAGTCAATCAAGTTTAAATTTAAATCCTGTCCATTTACCAGATGCTTGACCTTAAGCAAGTTGCAAAAACTCTGTAAATCTCAATTTCATATTGTGAATTAGGAATAATAATACATTTCATTGTACCAGTGTGAGAGTTGATGTATACACTGTATTTAAAGTGGTAATAACTATCTTTGGCACCTTATAAGCATGCAATTTATGGTAGCTATAAATTTTGGGCTACTATCAAAGTCCATGGAATTGGAGATCCAGAATTTTGGGGTTGTCCTTAAAACACTTACAGAGAGCCTCCAAGGTAGGTGAATGAAGTCTGTTGAAAAAGAGTTATGTTAAGAATTTTTAAGTTTGCTTTTTTTGTTAAATAAAACTAGTTAAATATCTGTTTATTTTATGGATAACAGAACCATCTGAAATAACTCCAGAAAAGAAAAGACTGAATTGGAGATAGTTTACCTCTCAGTGACTTCAAAAACATGTTTCTTCATAATTTCAGTAGATAAATAATGAACAATCATTATCTATTGGATGTATTTTAAAATTAAGAAGAATTAAGTTTTACCAATACTCTAAATTGTACAGGTATTATTATGTATAAGAAAAGGAGCAAAATTTAAGATAAAAGTAGTTAAGTGAACAAAAACTTAAGAGTAAAATAAAAACTAAAAGAGGGAGAGAGAAATTTGTCACCTAGCTACCATTTGTTAGTTATATGATATGAATAGGGCGAGTTATGTGATCTGAGTCCCAGTTTTTTCAGAGAAATTGCAAAATTAGAAAAATAATAATTAGTGTTTTCTTGAATATTAAATGAAAATGCCTGATGAACAGTAAGCATGGTCTTAATACTAATATTTAATGATCAGTGGAAATAGGAATTAGCTATACAAAAAGTAAATGGTATAATTACATTCTCTTATTTATATTTCAGTAATAATTTAAATCACACATATTTGGATCAAATTTCATACTGCTTTATTATGCATGGAAATTTTTCTTAAATCTTGATATTATTCTGAACGTTATTCAGGTATGATGTTATATCTAAAGCCTAATCCCAGCATTTTTCCAATTGTTTTGATTTGATGGAACTGAAGGAAAGTTAGCTCTTCTCTCCTCTTTGAAGTTACTCCAATTTAGGAAGTGTTTCTGCTCTGCTCATACTTGAGTGAGCATGCAATAATACCTTTGCTGAGTATTTCTGTTTGATTTTTCAAAAGCTGTCATTAGTCGTACAGCTCAAATATGAAGTGCACATGGTAATTGGTGGAGCCACATTCAGTCTTCAAGTATAATTGAAAATGACCCAGACACCCTGAGAGCTCTTCTTAGACTTCCAGATTTGTAAGCATATGTGATGGGACAAGAGCCAGACAGCTTGCTGAGAATGGGAGAAGTCCCTTTGCCTGTTGCTGAACCAGAAAGCCTTAACTGTATGACTCTCTGAGTCCGGACAATGTCTTGTGTGTTTGTTTCCACAGAGCATATATCATTACAGACTATATGGGCATCCGAAATGAAAGTTTCATGAAATTAGCTGCAGTAGGGACCTGGATGGGGGACTTTGTCACAGCTTGGATGGTAAGAAAATTTTAACTTCACCCATTTCAAACATCAAACGGAAGACATGTTCACAGTGTTGGACAGACACTGCTTTTGATGATGTAGAGTAAAATAATTACCTCTCTTTGAGTGAAACAAATTTATGAGTAAAGATAATTCCAGAGATTATATCCAATATCTGTGGACCTCAGAAAAAAAATCAATGCAATTAGAATACAAGTAATGGCACTCCACCAGAATCTGTCGATCGATCTATCTATCTATCATCTACCTATCTAAACACACATGTATGTTTGAGCATATAAACATATACAGTCATAACATTAATAGAAATTCTCCCTGTGAAGTTACAAATAATTTTGTTTGTCTAAATAATTTTGGCTTTTTCTTAAGGCATGTACAATTTTCAGGTAAGGAATGTGGTCTGGCCTGTCTCAGAAGACCATATGAAATATTTTTTTTAGCAATTTAAGAAATCATTTTCTACATTTATTTTCCTCATTGGAACTACTAATATAATGGTAACTGAGTTCTGAGTATTATCTCTTTTAATCTCTTTTGTATTTTCTTACTCCTTGTTACTATAAGCCTGGAACAAACAGACAAACATGTCTCCTGCTGAGCTCATCTGTCAATAAAGTATCTTCTGTTTTTAATCATTGGGTTAAAATTTAAAGATAGCATGTTGCTAGAAGGCTCTGGGTTCTATAAATTTATGAGAGACTCACAAAATGCAAAGAACATAACTCCCATAAAAATGGAGCACTTCATTAATACCGTTCATAAATGCAGTTGATTCTAATTACCTTTGTCAGTCTATTCACTTGAAAATGAGGAGATATACCAGAAGGCAGATAATGCCTGACTCAGACAAGACTTGGCATGGACATGTCCCTGCAGATATGTCCCAGATATTGTAGGTAGATATTGTAGGTAGGAACAAAAGAGTTCCTGCCATTTCTATTGATTGCTTCTTACCTGGAACAGGTGCTTTCCAGGATCAGGAAGCAGTTGTAGCTTAACTGCTCCTACTGAGAACATCCAGGAAGAGTATCAAGTAACTACCAAAGGGTTTGTATGGCCTGTTTTTGAGCCTCCACCTACCTCTGTTGATTTTTAGAATGTTAACAGATTACTGTATGGATTCTATTCCATTAACTTTAAAATGTAAACTTGAAAAATGATTTATTTGTAATCTCTAGAAATAGCAATTAGAATAAACTAGACATTGAGAACAGGCTGCCTCACATGAGAATTTTCTTTTTTCTGGGCCGGGCGCGGTGGCTCACGCCTGTAATCCCAGCACTTTGGGAGGCCGAGGCGGGCGGATCATGAGGTCAGGAGATCGAGACCATCCTGGCTAACACGGTGAAACCCCATCTCTACTAAAAATACAAAAAATTAGCCAGGCGTGGTGGCGGGCGCCTGTAGTCCCAGCTACTCGGGAGGCTGAGGCAGGAGAATGGCGTGAACCTGGGAGGCGGAGCTTGCAGTGAGCCGAGATCGCGCCACTGAACTCCAGCCTGGGCGACAGAGCGAGACTCCGTCTCAAAAAGAAAATAAAAAAGAAAAATTTCTTTTTTCCATTGGAAAAAGCTTTTTAGGAGGAGATACATAAACTTTGAAAAACGTAACTTCCTTGAAATTTGAGGGGATGTTTAAAAAAATTTTTTGACATTAATTATGCATTGTGATTTTGACATCACTTTGTGGCAAATCTGCTTAATAAGATGGAAAAGATAACTAGATTAAGAGTCCAGGAATTTGAATTATCTGACCTGACCACCTATGGTTCGACCTTCCTACAAATAATGAACAGTTCTCGGAGGCTCAGTTTGCAGATTTATCAAATAGGATTAATAGTTCCTTCCTGTGTTACATATTTTCTGTAAAGCTTAAATGTGTGGCCCTGTGATGTGACTTAAAATGCTAACGTATAAGGTAGACATAAGTGCTTCATTGTGCACATTGTGGGGCTTCTCATCACTTTAGCTTGGCTCAGTCCTTTGAGGGGATGGCAAGGGCCAAGTCATTGATCCAAACCTCAGGATGCCTAGACTTCCTGAGCCCCATAAGTGTGAGCAGCCCACCTTATCCCAGGCCTGGGGTCCAGAGTGTCTGGAGTTTATTTCAATCGCCAATGATGCAGGAGGCTAAGATGATATGGTACATTGCTTCCTGACTTTTGTCTTATACTGAACCTGACAAAAGTTAGAGGAGAAACAATGAACCAGCAGGACCTAGGAGCTGAAGTTTGCAGGCTCATGCCAGCCATTTATTACATAAATCATTTTCTTTTCCACTATGGCAACATTGTTTGTTTCTAACCCAATTCTATCCAATTCTTCCCCAGCCATTTCTTCAAGATGTTGCTTTCTGTACCATATACAGCTCTGCCTCTCTTTATTGGTTCATTATTATTATTTTTTAAATTAGCCTTTTTTCTTTTTTAACCATAGGGAGGGGTCCAATTGCTGCAGCACCCTTAGGAGGAAAATGCATGGTAGAGTTTTGACCAAAGACCTTTAACCCTTCCTGGTTGGATTTCTATTCTGCACTTGTCTGCCACTTTCATCTGGCTAAGGGGAGTACAAATAATTCCACAGTTCAGCCTGTGATCTTTGTCTCCTTTCAAGGTCTGGCTGACCTTCATAGTTTCTTCTAATTTTACTGCTTTAATGTCTTATATTTCTACTAGCTAACCTGATAACTTCACTTTTTTCTATATGAGAGATTACTGCTACATCACAGAACTAAGACTGGATTGAGAGTCAAGAAAACCGTGTTCTAGGTTGAACCTCACAATGTGATCTTAAGTCACCTAACCCCCTGGGGCCTTTCTGTAAGCTGGAAGAGAATCCAAAGTCTCTTTATGCTATGTTATATGAAACATTGACCTTTCCACATTAGACACAGGGATAGAAATAGCAAAGGAAATACCAAGTGCTCCTGATTTTAAAATATAGTCACACAGGGAGGATTCCCAGAGCACATCATTTCTATTCCCATTTCTATTCACTGATTGGGCAGTGAGTTTCTGTATAAATATTTATATGTCTACATATGTGTATATTGATAACATTTAAAAAAATAATATTTTCCCTCATGAGAGAAGTCTAACGTAGCCTTGACCTTCATCTGTCTATAGGATTCTCATCGTGAAATGAATATCAATGATGAGGGTGACTGTCATGGAAAAGCAACTATTTACATTAACAATCAAAGTGTGTCTTTTATATATTTCTGAAATGGAGGATTTTTCTTTTATGGAAATAATTCAAAACTTTTTCATAGTTTTAAAAGGCATATCAATATTAATGTGATCCAAAGATAAGGATGGTGTCAACCAATATGAGAAGTATCTTTGGCCCTCACATTACAGAGCTTCAAGCTCTGCTGGGTCCAGTTTCTTAGGCAGCTCTGACTTTTCCTGGCTCTGTGGTACTCCCCATGCAGAGGACAAGAGATATATAACTCAGGGTTAAGGGTACTAATTCTTTTGTCAAATAGGTTTTTAAAATAGGTTAATATGTAAGAAATACGTAAAGTGCTGAGCGATGTAATCCACATTGAGCTGGGTCTTTGCTATGGGCAGGATCAGAGAAAAGCGCTGTCATGAAGCTGTAAATAAAACAACATGGGGTGTCTCACGAGACACCATTTCCAGGTATCCACCCGTGCACTGTGCCATTAAGTCAGAAGCTGGAGGAGAGTTGGCCAGTTCCATATCACATTACCCCAGTTTTGCCATTGCTGCTTCAGCTTCTGATGAGGTCTAAGGTGGCAGGGGATTCCAAGGACATCATGATGGCACTTGCTTCTGCCCTTAATTTAATGCCAGAGAGAAGAAGCACTTCTGCTGATCTATGCCTAATAATCCCCTGTTCTAGCCCCTGGTACATCCTGTTCTAGTTGCTTCCATCTTACAGAAGTAAATGGTATGACTCACAATAGAACCAGGGCATCAGACTCCAGGTTTGAGGTTCTTGTTGGGGTGAGGGGTATAGATAAGGTAAAACTGAGCCATGACCTAAGAAGACAACTCTGGGCCGGGCGCGGTGGCTCACACCTGTAACCCCAGCACTTGGGAGGCTGAGACGGGTGGATCACTTGAGGTCAGGAGCTCACCAGCCTGGCCAACATGGTGAAACCCCATCTCTACTAAAAATACAAAAATTAGCTGGATATAGTGGCACATGCCTGCAATCCCAGCTACTCAGGAGGCTGAGGCAGCAGAATGGCTTGAACCTGGGAGGCGGAGGTTGCAGTAAGCTGAGATTGTGCCACTGCACTCCAGCCTGGGTGATAGAGCGAGACTCTGTCTCAAAAAAAAAAAAAAAAAGAAAAAGAAAAAGACAATTCTGTTAGCCAACACTGAAGTCATCATAAAGCATCCTTCAACCTGAAAACCGTATACTGTGTGTATCAACTTCTAACAGTCACAGGACATTGCATGGCTTTAACATAGTAGCCCTAGGATTATCTGTCGGAATTTATGTATATGTGCCACTACTAGCAAAGGCTTTACCATAAAGTGATGTTGTAGACACATAAAACAGGAAAAAGTCAGTTTAGTTGTTTGCCAGTTGGCTTTACTTTTATTTAAGGCATTTATAGTGACCGTCTGTTTATAAAATTATGTGTGATTTTTAATGGACTTTTTTTCCCCTTGAAAGTTGGAGTTTCATTAGAGCCAGACAAGCTTAACCACTAAAAATGCTTTTGGATTAATAAAACATAGCCTTTGTAGTTGGAATATAGTAAGAAATAAGTTGTAATTTTTGCTGAATTATTTCTCTGTATTGAGGATCTAGCAAGAATATGATTTTAGAAAAAATGTGTTGATTTTAGAAAAAAGGTATTTTTTAGAAATATATTTTACCTTTCTATTTTAACTGTGTCTATTTTATGTATAAGTACTGCAATATCTGTCTAAATATTTGAGTGACAATTTTTGCTGTCTTATTTTTCATACACTTTGTATTTTTTCAGAGAGATTTTATCATTAATATTTATACTGCTATTATCTTTGCTTCAAAAGACTGTTCATACTAGTTAAGAGAAAAAGTTAAAAACTCTTCCTGACTTGACTAGAAGCTTCTTGAGGGGAGTTACAATGTCAATCATATTTATAATTATATTCCTAACACCCAACACAGAACCAGGTATAAAATAGGTGCTCAAGAAATATTTATTTAAAGAATAAATAGATCATAACAGCACATAAGCACTGTTTCATTTCTTTTTTCTGGTTCAGTTTTGTGACTTATTATTGTAAAATGAGCATTCTAGAATCCTATAAAGGTGGAAGGAGGTCAGCTATATTGTTCAGGGTATCATATATATTAACCCTGCTTTGCTCCTCTCCCTACCCCACCTCAACCAGGCTATGCACTTCTTCACACTAAATTTGTTCCCAGAACCACAGGGACACATGCTTGTGAACACTCTTGAATGGAAGTGATGAATTGCCAGTGTAAGTCTCCCAAAATGGTGATGTCATTCTTGAGTGTAAATGGCAAAGAGTATAAAGAAAAGATTGAGCTCTGCAGATCCTGCCAGTGCATTCTTCGAATGGTCATTACTGCTCTCAGTGGCACTGTGTTGATCCCAGCTCTGGGGCAGAAGGAAGCTGGGTTGAGATATGTCCCTTGAGTCATGTGAGCAAGAAGAGATTACTACGTAAGATAGAAAATTGGTTAAATTTCAGTGGACAGAGAGAATTAAAGAATGGCATATACTTGAGAGTAAATACCATTACATCAAGGGTCAATATTCATTTACAACTCTAGAACAGAATAGAGGGAGGAAATATTTCTGCAGTGTTTGAGCATAAAGTATTCCTTCTAGCTTAAATATAGATAATATGAAATAAAATTTATAATTATATAAACATACAACCTAAAATGTGGTGATGTTTTTAATTGTCATTTTATGCTTATTGCACACTTATTTAGGAAAGGAGTTAACTGTTTGTGTTATTTTCATTTTATCAAGTTAAAAATAGTTTAGTTCAAAATTTTCTAGTTTATACATGTCACTATTTTGTGGACTATTTCACAAACACTAAGTGTGTGAATGAACAGTAACCTGGAATATAACCAGCATCTAGCTTGTTATTCTGTCTGGAATTGAGTTTGACAATGCATATTATAATCAGTGCCAATTTTCTAATTATTTCTCTTCTACTGATGTTTCAAAATGACAGAATAAGAAGCATAATTGAATTTGATTTAGCACTTGAAATAAAGTAGCAATAACAGTTTAATTGAACTTCATAATAGAAAAAAAATTTAAACCATGAAACTTGGAATAGAAGGCCAGGATGAGCAAACTCATTGGACACATGTATATGAGAAATGGAAGGGTGCAAACCAGATATTTAGCCATGGGAGCTGGACCTAAGAGCTGAACATTCCTCTGGGTCTTTCTCTTTTGCTGTCTTTCTCTGCCTGTTCATTGGAACCATTTTGACCTCAACCTACCCCTGATTAGTTAACCTCATGTTTGGTACATTCGTATGTTCCATTTCATTACTTATACAGTGAAAATACAAACTGGATCAAGCATTTAATTAATACACTATCTTTCTATAAAGATTTCGTGTTATGTGAGGTTCTCTAAGAAAAAAAGCATGCATCAGGGATTTAGGGGCACAAGATTTAAAGAGGAAGTACTCTTGGGGAATCTGTAAGAGATGAGAGAAACAGGAGAGAGAAAGAGAAGGAGGCAAGCAAAGATATAGTTCTATGGTGTCACATAAAGTCTGCCCTCAGCCTGATCTCCTGGGACTGTGCTCTTGGGCAATGGAGTGCTCCAGTAGGTCAAGAGGTTGCGAGTGGGACACCAACATGGACCATCGCACAGACAAAACCCAAGGACGGCAGATTTAGTGGCACCCACACTTGCCAAAAAAAATTAATAATAATCAGTTTGTTTGATCATTTGATTGAAGCAAAGAGCATAAAAGGGAAATTATTTTTTGCATTTCTTTTTTGCTCATTAGGAAGTTTTGAGGGAAGTAAATGTGGTCATTTTGCTTTTGCATGTATAAATATTTTAATGTCTCTATAAATATTTTAGCTTTGTGTTTCATGTTCCTTCAAAATAATAAGTTCCAGCTAAAAAATTAATAAGGCAGGAGAGTCTAACTTCCTGTGTTCAGATAGCATCCTAAGTGATGATCAAGAGTCTTTTAATTTTCATGACTTTTGGAATTAAAAAAATAGAATATGACCTGGAATAAAAAAGGATTTCCGGGTAAAAAAGGTTGTACTATAATGTATAGACACTTAAGAACAGAGGCAAAAATTCTGGCTTTCACTGTAAGTCTCCTAATGCCAATGCCCATCAAAATATCAAATAATTCCATAGTATGTGATAGGTATATGTATGCAATTTATATTCATTTATTAAAAATTTGTGGAATATAAATTTTATATTCATATTCACCAAGAATATGAAAGGCACCTAGGAAAATTCACCTAGGTATTGAATTGAACTACATTAAGATATGAAAGAAACTGAGGACATCTCTTATAGAAAGACATTCCCACCAGAGACAGGGGATGCTCATTTTTCATCTTTTTCATCCCCAACTTAGTTTCAGCTTCTTCCAATTCCATTATACTTTATTTCTATTACTTAGTTTATACTTCCTCTAGTTGGGTACCTCCTTTGTCCACATATTCTTTATGATTTTTCTAACGTAAAGTTCCGCACCTTTTTTTTTTGATGGAATTTTCTTTTTTTTTTCATTATTATTATTATACTTTAAGTTTTAGGATACATGTGCACAACGTGCAGGTTTGTTACATATGTATATATGTGCCATGTTGGTGTGCTGCACTCATTAACTTGTCGTTTAGCATTAGGTATATCTCCTAATGCTATCCCTCCGCCCTCCCCCCACCCCACAACAGTCCCCAGGTGTGATGTTCCCCTTCCTGTGTCCATGTTTAAAGCAGTATTTATCCACCATTTACCTGAAGAACTTTGAATAAAGCCCAGGAGGCATTGATACTTGATTTTTTCCTCTTTGAAAGTCAATGATATAATGAAATGAGAGCTGGCTGTTAATATAGGCTCATATTAGAACTTGAAAAAAGAAGCTATGTGCTTTTTTGTAGTATGTTTAGGAGTTGGATGGCTCCCTTAACATTTCTTTCACCTTTTATTTAGTGCCTCTTGTGGGCCGAGAACTATTCTAAATACACATATTTAGAATAATGTTTATATATAATATATAATATTATATTTAATATATTATATATTATAATATATATTTAATATCATTTAATATATAATATATATTATAAACATTATATATTATATTATATTACATAATATATTATATAAATATAAGTATATATTTATATATAAACATTATTATAAATATAATATATATTATATATTTAAATATGTAATATATATTATATTAATCATATATTTATATTATAGATATAATATATATTTATATTATAAACATAAATATATAATATATAATATAAATGTATATTATATATTTATATTATTTATATATTTATATTTACATAATATATATAAAATTATATTTATAAAATATATATAAATATAATTATATTTATATTATATATTATAAATATAATTATATATATAATTATAAATATAAAATGTATAATCATATTTATATTATATATAATTATATTTATAATATTTATATATAATCATATCATATAAATATATATATTATATATAAATTTATATATTTATATGTATTATATCATATATAAATTTATATATTTATATATAATATTTATATCATATATAAATTTCTATATTTATATATTATATTTATATAATATAAAAATTTTTATATCTATAATTATATCATATATAAATTTTTATATATATAATTATATCATATATAAATTTATATATATATTTATATCATATAAATTTTTATATATAATATTTATATCATATAAATTTATATATATAATATTTATATCATATATAAATTTTTATATACATAATATTTATATCATATATAAATTTTTATATATAATATTTATATCATATATAATTTTTATATATATAATATTTATATATAAATTTTTATATATACTATATATAATATAAATATATTTATATTTATAATTATATTTATAATGTATATAATATAAATATAAATATGGTGTCACATAAATATATATACATTATGTTTATATGAATATAATGTATATATTGTATTTATATAAATACAATATATACATTATATTTATGGAACCATTTTGACCTCAACCTACCCCTGATTCGTTAATTATATTCTTAAGTATATATTTATATATACTTAAGAATAGTGCATATACACACACACATATTTTAGAATCATGGTGGGCCTGCAGGAGGTGCTAACTAAAAGGTAAAAGAAATGTTCAGGGGAGTCATTCGACTAATTCCAGAAGTACTACAAAAGAAGCACATAGCTTCATATTTCAAGTTCTAATCTCAGCTAATATTAATGAGTACTCATTTTATTGTATCATTAACTTTATATCAGATACATACTGATTTTCCATCCATAAAAACCCTGAAACAGGTGGAGACACTGAAGCTTAGGAGGTTAAGTGTCTTGCCCTTGCCCAAGGTGACACAGATATGGCAGTATGAATGGCAGAACTTGGAATATAACCCAGGCAATCTGGTTCCAAAGTTTTTATTGTTTTCACATACTATTCTGACAAACTGAATAATTTTCTTGCAAATATTTAATAGTAGATCTTAATCCAATGTGGCATATAGACATAGATTTTGGTTCAATTTTTTTTTCTGCTTACATGTCAATTGAATTTGTTGAATTTTGTCATCAGATGGGGGAAGTGAGTATATTTTTAGGCACGAAATGATATAACCATCACGTCTCAGCCAAACTGTTGATTTTCAACTTTAGAAAATTCCTAAATTCCTATATTCCTATTCCCTTTTGATAAAGATGGTGGAAAGCATCTTATTTCTGGAATGGGAAAAAGGTAAAAGAATAAGTTTTATCTTATTATTGTTTAAGATAGATATTGCAGTTCCTGGTTACTTAAGTGCTAAGTGTTTTTATGAAATTGCTATTCTTTAGCAGTTGTTTGCTCCACGTATTTTTAGAGCAGTAAAGTTTTTTATATTCATAGAATATGCCACATTTTTAGTTAAATGTGTTTTAACCATATTTAGTTAAACATCAGAAAGAGATTTATAGCAATGAAGTATCTTGTATTTATGCTTTATTGTTGTTGCTTCATAAAAGCTTCATTATGTTTCAAGAGATTAAAGTAATTTGAGTGAACACAGGGAATACAATATTTGATAAGAAATGATTAAGTAAGAGTTTTCCTAAAACTAAGTTTGGGATATATTCTTCTCTTATATATCTGAAAGCTGATTAGGAAATAAATAACTTCTTTTTTTCCTTGGCTGACAAAATATGTTAAGCTTTATCTCAGACCTGGACCTGCCTCCACGATCCTTCACTAGTCTACCAAATTGCTCAGTGAAACATCTTAAGTAGCTTTTGGAACATGATATTGCATAAGGAATCAATTAAGCATGCAACAGCAATAGAAATTACTGGTCAAGTGTAAGATCAAATAAATTTCTCTGCCATTTCCAACGATATCAGTTAAAACAGAAGATAAAGTCCACATCAACAGTTTCTTAAATGCTATAGACAAGGACGCACAAAAAGAAAGTAGGACACCACGTGGGCCGTGTTAAGAATTCCAAATTGTTCTTGACTACTGACCAGAGGTTATATGAGAAGTAATGCCTATGAGTCAAGTGAGTGAGAGTGAGATGAAACAGAAAACCTAGAGAGAAGCCATCTGTTTTCATTGAAAGAACAGCACCTCTCGTAAAGATTTTAAAATACATCATAAAAATACTATGAACCTGTAGCTATTGAAGAAAAATGAAACCTAATAATTTTCAAAACCCAAGTGCTTTTTTTCTTATGTTGTAATTATCCTAATTTCTCTTTGACATTTTCAGTTTGAACGAAAAATAATAGAATCAAGGAAGAATTTTGGCAAATCTAAGTTGCAGGTTTGAAAAAAAAAGAAGGCATTTTATTTTACTTAAATAAAATTTAGCAAAGTGAACCAGTTTTCCCCCAAACAATATGCTATATATCTAAAAAAAAAAACCCCTTGTTTTGATTATATGATTTTTTTTAAAAAAAATAAGCAGAATATTCCTGGTACTTCTGCATACTTTACTTTCTTAGCCCTACAAGTCTCTATCGTAATGCCATTGCTATCTTTCTAAAATTGGTGACAACTTCAATTGACTATTTCTTGGACCATAATATCTTTGAGAACATGTTTTCTCTGGTGTCAAGGGATTTGTGAAGTGCAGAGCTTATACAAATAAATGAGGAATAGTCCAAATTTATTTTTGCTACTATTTTTGTCCAAATATTTCTTAAGATAATCATCTCTTTCCTCCATTCAGCCACCTTTTTGCAACAAACATTTTGAGATAAAAAAACTCATGAAATAAGGTATTTGTATACATAGTTTTTAAATATTTTATCAAATTTTGATGTTGCAAAATTACAGACCTTTGGTATTCCAAAACCCCACTGAGGGTCTCTCTTACTTCTTCATGAATCTATTCACTTAACAAATATATACGAAACACATGTAAAGTCATAACAAATTAGTAAGGAGTAAACATTGGACTGTATTAAATATGGTAAAAATTGAGTCAAAATACCATTGCATTTGAAGTTAACTTTCTCTTATTAATCTCTCAATGGTCTTGTTCCAGCCAGCCCCTCCCTAGACTTGCTGGTTTGGCAAGTGGTCATGCTGTGTATAATTTGTTCTGCAATACCTTTTGGTCTGTTCAAATCTTACCAACCATGTTTCAGTAGCTTAAGTCATCAGTTTGTGGTGAGGTCTTAATGAGTGACAGTGGCTTTCTCTGTTAAACTTGCATAAATAATAAATACCAGCATTGCAAATTCAAATGCCCTCAAGGCCAGGCTCATCTAGTAGAAGTGTGAAACATCTGGTATGAGATAAAAGGGTCTGTGAGGAGTTGAGGGCAGCTGCGTTGAACCAGAGATCGTGTTTCTTGTAAAGAAGCATTAAAATTCAGTTTACAACAAAAATATCACTAATGCAAAGTAGGATATAACTTCAGCAGAAAGTCTGCCCTTTGGTCACCTGACAGGGAGTCCTGCTTTGTGCTTTTTAAACAGGGCACATTAATCTGGAAACTGATTATGGCATGAATGTTGCAAGAACAGCACAGCACAGGGCATGAGTTTGGGACAGGTACCATGTTGTAATGTCTCTATCGCACCCTTAAACTTATCCATCCTGTAAAAGGTTGGTTCTCCCTTTTCTGTCCACTAAAATTCAGGGGGGACAAGGACTGTCTGCATGTTAATCATAGCTGATAAGAACAACCGGAATCTTTGTACTGCTTAGCACTAATTCCACCCAAACATTTAAGGCTCAAGCAGGCAAAAAGCATTTTCATAATAACACTTACTGAAGTGTTAATTAAATGCTTGTTATAGTAGTCAGGTTAGCCCTTACCAGCATGGATTCAGAGAGACCTCAAGTTCATGCTGTATTTGTTGACTAACTTACTAGCTTTAGTTTCTCATCAGGAAAGTGTGTGCAGATGTGTACTTAATATGCATTGTGGAAATCTTAAATGAATACAAATATCATTAAGCTGTCAATATTTGTAAATCTCTTAAGCAGTTTATATATAGATTTAGGGAACAGAGCTTATTGTTTAGTTGGGTGCTCTAATCAGTTTTTACCTGAATTTCATAAGGCTATGATTCCCAAATTTGTCTGCATACTGGAATCACCTGGGAAGTTTCAAAGACTACTGATGCCTGTGTCTCACTCTGGGATAGTGGTTTAACTTGTCTGCATGTAGTCTGGGTGTTGGAATGTTTAAGAGATTCCTAGAGATTCTAAAATGCAGAAAAATGCAGGGACTGTTTCTCTAAGGTGGTTCCAGGAAGTTTGGCATGGGAACATTTGGACATATTCTATGTCAAAATCAGATATTATGGGGTCATACTTATCAGATATTAAGGTTGAAGAGAAACCAGGAGAAAGAATCTTTTGGTGCTGGAAGACTATACAACAAGCAGGCATGAGGGTAAGATGGATATGAAGAGGGTTGGCTTTCTTTTTGGGTTGCAGCACCCCAAGGGCCTGTACATTGCCACGAGGCAATATAAGTGCTCAGTAAATGTTACCTAGCCTCCAGAGTTAAGTCTAGAACTTGCTGTGGGATTCTTACAGAGCAACTTTGACTCTGGGTTCCTTTTGATGCTCACAGTGTATTCCCCTTTTCCCAAGGCTAGATTCTACCATCCTTCATGGAAAACCTGACAGATGTTACTATGCCCAGGCTTTGGCTCAGATAATATTTAAGTTTTCCTCTCTCTAGTTATCAGGACAAGCACTGCCAGCCCACCGCTTTCAGTTCATAATATGAAGAACAATCCTTTTATAATTTTGCCTATTGCAATAAAGTGTCATCTACATAAACTTTCTTCTGATACCTGCCCACCAGCAAATGACCTGCTCCGCCAATTCTTCATGTGCTTTAATTTGATTCTTTACTTCTTATTAAACATTAGTAGGTATTGTTGCCATTTGCTCAGGGGGTGGCTTATTTTTAGTAATTATTACTTAGAGGATATGGCTGTGAACTGCTGTGAGATAAAAGATAAAGCATGTGGAATTATGACTGCTAATATTGTTAGTGTTACTTAATTTAAAAAATTACAGTGTTTCATACATTAGAACATCTTAAAATATCGTTCTCAATTTGGATTTTCTGAATGAAGACTTTTTACTAATTTTAACATCTTTTTATTGTTGCTCTAGTGTCATTTCCAAAGCTTAGCCAAACAGGAACTGATACCAAGACTGTATAATCACTATTTTACATAGCAGCCTTTTTAAAAAAATAATGAGGTCGGCTGTAAGTAGGTCACTCTGAATTATAAATATACCTGATGTTAGTGTTATGTCATTTTACAATTTTCTCTGCTTATAGAAATTAAAATATGAATTATATGAATTATGTGATGAAAACACAATAAAAAGTTTGTGTTCTGTAAGGAATGCTTATATGTTAGGTATACTTTTCAAAAGATGGTAAGACAGTCTTGAGCAGGCAAATCATAGTCCCATTTATTAAAATAAGTGACTAAAAAGAAGTATTGAGGAATGAAAAACTTTAAAATATAATCTTGACTCAAAGTAGACAATTTGAGTTTTGCCATAAAACTTTGTCTCATAATTTTCCATCCTGATGAGTTCTGAGTTCTAAAGTCTATGAGTATTTGAGGCAAAAATTAGATACTCATCCAAATAGTTTTCTTGTGTATACTTTTAGTCCTGCTTATTTTAGTAGAGTCCAAGTAGCAGATTTTATTAAAGTATGAATGCTATATTCTCTAAAATGGATTATATGCAGAAAAACATGAAGGAAAGGGAGTTTGGGCCAGATATGTAATTCAGGAAGCAAATTTGGGAAGTAGCTGAGTAAAGATGGTATTTTCCTAGTCAGTGACAATTATCAGGACCTCTCCTCTGCGTTATGTTTCCACAACATTTCATTGACTTGTCTATAAAAGTAAAGCTTGGAGTCAATTCAGGTGTGACAACAAAAGAATTCAATAGTAAACCCAGGGGAATCATAAAGGCAAGTGCAGATTTTAATTCGAAAGTTTTGACAAAACAGCTGCTCAAGGACAACAACTTTTGATGTGAAGTGGATCCTGACAGAAGCTCAGATCCCTGATATTTCAGTCCTGTTCCTTTGTCAACATAAAGGCGAGATAGTGTCTTATGGGATTAAGCAAACTCCATGGCTAAAAATATAGTTTGACATTTCTTGAAAGCACTTGACAAGACTCCACACAAAATTATATTAGTATTCTTTTCAGCTGAGAGACAATTTTTAAGGGAGTCTGAGTTCTATTATTCAAATTCAGATTTAATCTTTGGTTGCCATGGCATCTTAAAAAATTTAATCATATATTGTTGGAGTTTAAATGTTGGGTCTAGGGTGTTTTAGTACAGTTGGAAAATAACAAACTCTAGAAACATTATTGCAAAAATTAAATTGCATTTGGGAACTTTAAAAAAAAATAGCAGCCCTGAAAAAGTCAATTACAAAGATTTTACATAATAGGAATTCTACACAATAGGAAAGTGATTATTGACCATGTTGTCAGTGGCCATCAGTGTCTGCCCTGGTCTTTGGCATCCTTGCTGTGGTACAGCTGGCTGGCAGATTGTAGCTAATGTGCAAGTAGAGAAGAAAGGTGAGGAGGAGCAAGGGTTGCAGAATACAAGACGCCAGCAGCCTCAGAGACTGGGGTGATGCATGTTTGATGTTTAGTGCTGGGAGGAAGAAATCTGCAGAGAATTTCTGTGGTACTGGGCTGATTGGAGATGGGGGCGGCAAATGGAAAATATTTTATGGGTAGGTAATTATATTGGTTCTGAGATAATATTTCAGCAGCAGAAATGGTGAATGGCAATCCTTAATCACCAAATGTTGCAGCCATGGGAAGTGGAAGGCTGAGTTTGAAAGTGTTAAGTCTTCTTCAGATGGAATGTCTGTTACTGCCTTAAAATCTCTGTCTTCTTAGCATTTCCTTTCCTTTGAAAAAACATTATTTGCCAGCTTGTTGGACTCTAGCTCTTGTTCTGTTTACCTACAGGGAAAACAGACTGCAGTGTCCAACAGCATTATTTACTCTTTAAAGACTTTTTTTTTTAACCAAAAACTGCAGATGGTTTAGTTTTCTAAAACAAATGCAGAGGTGTGAATGGTTAATCAAGCTGAAACAATTGCAGAGCTGTGCTTTTGAAAGCTTACCAAATGCCAGCCTCACTTTTGATGTTAGCATTTTTTTTCCTAAACAGTGTGTCCATAATTTCTAATGAAGGCTTTGCCCATTCATGCTTGAAATTCATGATAATAATGTGCAGCCAGATAATCACAAGATTTGGTGTCAAACTGTGGGGCATATAATTTCTGCGTGCCTGTGAATTAGCACTGATACCCTAAACATAAGTATATTTATGGTTCTCCGTAAACATGCCATTAAAAGTTAAAATGCTGATAAAATTATTAATTACTTTGTAACTTTGTTGAAAACATCAGCAGAATGAACTTAATTCAGATGGTTCTTGATAATAATACTAAAAAATAATTTTAATAAAGAATCTAAGCTACCAGATGCCTGGTGAGAAACAAAGTGCTGGTGTGGAAATGACAGAGAAGGCACAGGAACAAATGTAGGCAATTTAAGATAATGCTCATCTCCACCCAGGTTCCTAGTTTCAAATCAGAGAGAGGATGAAAGCACAAAGACCCTGGCCAAAGGAGGGCTCAGAGAGAAGTGGCAGATTGTAAATTAGCAGGACCCTGCTACTAGCCTGGAAAGCAACATGACATTCCCTGAAGGTATTCCAAGGATAAAAATAAGTACCGAGAATGTGTAGATGTCCAATCCACAGAGAAAGGCTCATGTATTTGTAAGCTGCGTTAGCCCTTTTAGATCGCCAAGTCAATTCAGTGGTGTTATATTGAGCATCTAAATTATTTTGTTCATGCATTAAGTAAATTACATACACATACACATATGTATATATATATACACACACACATATAACTCACAGAAAAGTTAATATATATCCATATTTCTCTACCATTTTAAAAGATAAGTGACAAAAGGAAATTACTAGTTACAGTGCAGTACGATCCACCAATGAAGCTTATTTTCAGCAAGAATGCTATTTACTTTATTAAAAATTTGATTTGTATATAATTTTTCAGGAATGTAAGTATTGAATAAGTTGGATTTCCTTATACAGTTTAAAAAATTAACTGGGTGTGGTAACTCACACCTGTGATTTCATCACTTTGGGAGGCTGAGGTGGGAGGATTGCTTGAAGCCAGGAGTTTGAAACCAGCCTCACAACATAGCAAGACACTGGCTCCACAAAAAATTTAAAATTAGCTGGGCTCTGTGGTGCATACCTGTAGTCCTAGCTACTAGGGAGGCTGAGGTGAGAGGATCGCTTGTGCCTAGGAGTTTGAGGCTGCAGTGAGCTATGGTTGGTCCACTGCATGCCAGCCTGGGCAACATAGTGAGATCCTGTTTCTAAAAAAAGAAATTACCCTATCAATGCCTTGATCCGTGTTGATGATTTGAAATGAATTATTGTAGCTGCCATAGTAATTACAATAGTAATATACAAAATTTGAATCCATGTGCTAAAGCCTGTTCTAAATGTTTTAAACCTATTGATTTATTTAGAGCCAAATGGTATTAGGTATATTATGATTATTTCTATTTTATAGCTGAGGAAGTAGAGGCATTTTGAGTCAAGGTTACACAGCCACTAATTGGCTATAATCATGAAGTGCAGTGAGCACTGGGCAATAGGGTTTTCAGGGATATTGAGTAACATCTCATTTATTTGACATCAAAATACATATTTCTCTTTACTCAATAGTTAACATAAACACAAATTAAACCCTGGAAGTTTGTGACTATAATTGTGTTTTGATGAAATTTTTCTGAAAATTTTTGCGTCTGTTCCTATCTTAATAAACAAAATTATAAAGATAACCTATCATATTAATAATGGAAAGAATGTTGAATTTGCATACAGTTGGGTTTAAATCTCAATTCTGATACTTAGTAATTGTATGACCTGGGTCTTAATTTCCTTATTGGTAAAGTGAACTGATCCCTACATCCTTGTAAGTCACTTAGCATGGAACTTATGTCATGATAGGCTCTCATAAATGCTAGCTATTGCTATTAATTTTATTGCTCCTATTTCCTTAAAAGGAAAGTGAGGGACTAATGCTCACCTTATAAGAGTTTTGCTAATTAAACGAATGGAATTTATATATGCCATTTGTAAATGCATATGTGTGTGTGACATACCCTAGCACAGTTCTTAGTAATTATCATTCAGTAAGCATATAGAGTACATGAATTAATGCAGGCAGAGCACTTAGAATATGCCTGGCATTTAGGAAGGACTTATCACATGTTGTCTGTTATTATTACCATATGATAATTTTGTTTTGGTATTTCAGTTGGTTGTCCTATTGTGCTTATTCCCTATTCTTGGTTTATGGTAGTGGCAAATTAATTAATTAATTAATTTTTATTACATGGATAGGTGTACCAAGTGACAAGTTGATACTGATCACAAAAATCCATAATTCAGGAAGGTGAGAATTATGTGGTGAGAGAGGTAGTGAGGTCAGATATATATGTTAGTTGAGGCATCTATGGAACATCAAGGTAGAGGAGTATGGTCAGCAATCAGATACAGAAAATAAATTGGACTTTATGCAGTCATTTGGGAATCATCAGAATATGCCTGTTATTTGAAACTACTAAAGTGAGTTTAAAGAATGAGATGCCGTATGGAGCTCCAGAGAACGTGAACATTCTAGAGAACTCCCCAAAAATAAAGATGATGATATATATTTGGAGACATAGAAGAGAACCACAGCAACTTTGGGCACTGTATGTGGACAGAGAATTTGTGGTCCACCCCAGTCTTTAAATGCCTCTTCACTTCTACAACAGTTGACATAGTGTCCCTTCTTTAGGCCCTCATGCAAAGTTTGGGGTGGGTGTCACTTCTTGGCCCCACTGTCTCAGCTTCCTCAATATTCTTCTGCATGAAACCATGCCCTCAGGGTGCATTTTCTCTCCCTCCACAGACAGAGCTGAATGGTGTTGGACAAAGTAACTCATCTCTGATCTTTTCCAGTAAAACTACTCCCTCATCTGTCACTCAGCCTGTCTCTTAGCCCTTCATGCTCTGACCTAATGCATATCCATTAACTGGCTGCTTGGGTTTTCTTGGTTTAGAAGCTTACATAGTCAAAACCTAACGCTTTTACAAAGAGTCATTATATCTTGTCCTTTTTCTCCCTCTTCCTTCCAGATGTATCTGTTTACTGTAGCATTAAGACTGAATGAATGAATACATAAATAAGGTTGTAATAGTTATGAGACTGAATGAATACTGATGATGCAGTGGCCTTTGCACTTGTTCTGTTGAAAATGTCTCTGATGTTGTCTTGCCTCCATTTCATAAAAGTAGACTAATAACACATGTAGTTGTGTGACCTTTGGAGTAGGTATTGCATGATGACCTTTCTCAAAATTAATTATTAAATCAAAGATTTTTTAAAAATAGCCTTTTCAAGTGATTTTTGCTCCCTAGGAAAAATCCTAAGAGATGTGATCAGTGTATTTTGACTGGTCACCAACATTGGAAAAATGCATATGCAAAATTCCTACAACACTAACAGGAAGATCAGGCCTTCTGGTCAGCCTCGGTTCTTCTGCCTCACTTAAGTGTCTGTTGAAGAGTCTTAAATAAGGGATTTGCCATTTGAAGAAATTGAGCTAGAAAACTTTAGAGATGACTTGCTGCAAAGCTTGCACATTCTTTGGTGGAAGAAAGAATGGTTTAGCAAATCCATAAGATTAGCATTTTAACAGGTATTTCTAGGCACGAGCCACATTTAAGAAATAAGATTAAAATTCTTCAGTAGTGACTGCATTATTTTTAAATTGCCCACTGAGGCTTTTCAGACCTTCTTAATACCTTTTGTCTACAAGATGATCTCGTGACATAACACTTAGGGACATGGAGAACTTTAAAATGCTGTAAAACCTGTTTTATTTTATTTTATTTTTCCAGAACAAGTTCAACATTTATTTAGTAATAATATAAATTTTCTATCTTTAGCTAAGTCTGCATTTCTGAAATGATCTTTTATTGAAGGTATGAAAAGAATCAGGTGACAGACTTACCTAATGTTAACCAAACTTACCTAAGCATACTTTGCCTTAGAAGCAATAGGTAAGTGTGTGACACTTTGGAAAGCACTGTAATAAAGATTTCTTTTAATCATCATCAGTTTTATTTATGGGACAAAAGAGAATTTGGCCTTGTTTCACTACAGCCAGAATGATGATTGGAAAAATTATTTCACTGAGTCTTCCTAGGATAAAAATGTGAACATCACCAAAATGTACTAATTTTAAGAGCATTGTTGGATTGCCATTGACTAGCCAGTGTCACAAATGTGACTTCTAAAATATAACATCCTAGGTATCACCCTGGTTACTTTTTATATTTTAAGACAAACATTGAACCTGCTAATGGCATTTAGAGATTATTGAAGCCACTCATCATAATATGTCAGGTCAACTGGATTTTCCCAAAGTATTTTCTATTTTCATCTAGCATTGAGCCCTATATTGGCAAAACCTCTTTTTTCTCCCTTCCCAGATGAAAGGGATCCTAAAATAAATGGATTGGATCCAAGTGGATCCTGGGGGCCTGGTGCAGGAGCTAGGGTGGGATTGGGATTGGACAAAGCTTTCTCCATCCCCAGTGGTCTTGGAATGAGAAGACTATACCGTGGAATAAGAGAAACCCGAGAGACAGCATAAAGGGGTTGAGACATAAGCCAAAGTCAGAAAAACATACTTCTTTTTTTCTTCAATGAATTTATTAATATCTTATTTTAAATTTATTTAAATAGTTTTTGGGGTAAAGTGGTTTTTGGTTACATGGATAAGTTCTTTAGTGGTGATTTCTGGATTTTGGTGCACCCATCACCCAAGCAGTGTACACTGTACCCAATATGTAGTCTTTTATCCATCACCACCATCCCACCCCTTCCCCTGAGTCCCCAAAGTTCATTTTATCATTCTTATGCCTTTTCATCCTCATAACTTAGCCCCAACTTATAAGTGGTAACATATGATATTTGGTTTTCCATTCCTGAGTTACTTCACTTAGTTTAATGGCCTCCAGCTCCATTTAAGTTGTTACAAAGGCCATTACAGAAACTATACTTTCATGAGGGGCTGGAAAAAAAACCCTTGTAAAAGGCAACAGTATGGAAATACAGGAACATGAATTTTGAAATGAAAAGAATAGGCTATGAAGATTCTGTAAACTCTGGGATATAATAAGAGGATTTCTGAATTATGGGGCTACAATCTTTGTCTTGATAGAGGGGGCAATTGAGGCAGAAGGTGTGAGCCTGTCAGTACTCTGAGAATCACTTAAACCATGATCTGGATGGTATATTTTGTATTGATATACAATATTTGTACATACTTATGGATACATGTGATATTTTGATACATGCATGCAACGTGTAATGATTAAATCAGGGTATTTAGGATATCCAGCACCTCTAACATTTATCATTTCTTTGTGTTGGGAACAGCTCAAATCTTCTGTTCTGGCTATTTTGAAATATACAATATATTGTTAACTATAGTTACCTTACTGTTCTGTGAAACACTAGAACTTATTTCTTCTATCTGTACATTTGTACCCATTAACCAACCTCTCTCTGTCACTACCCCCCTGCCACCGCCTTCACCCCACACTCTTCTCAGCCTCTGGTAAGCATCATTCTACTCTCTACCTTCATGAGATCAACTTTTTTAGCTCCACATATGAGTGACAATATGGTGTGAACACACAAAAGTTTAAAAACTCACTGATTGAGCAGACACACAAATATCAAAGAGACAGGAATCAAATGTTACCACTACAGAAAACCACCAAATCACAATAAGCAATGAGAGAAGGAAAGGAATAGATGATACATAAAACAACCAGAAAACAATTAACAAAATGATAGAAGTAAGACCTCACCTATCAGTAAACTTCAATCTGTTTACAAAACAGATTAATTTCCCCACTTAAACGATATAGATTGGCTGAATGGATGAAAAAATAATAACATGACCAAACTATATGCAGCCTAAAGAAATTTATTTCACCTGTAAAGACTCATATACACTGAAAGTGAAATGATGGAAAAAGATACTCCACACAAATGAAAACTAAACACTGACGGGAGTAGCTATACTTAGATAAAACAGACTTTAAGTCAAAAACAGTCAAAAAAGACATAGAAGGTCATTACATAATGATAAAGGGGTCAATTGAGCAAGAGGACTTAACAATTCTAATTACATATGCACCTAACACTGGAGCATCCAGATACATAAAGCAATTATTATTAGATATAAAGGGAGAGACAGGCTTCAATACAATAACAGTTGGGGACTTTAACACCCCACTCTCAGCATTGGACAGATCATCTAGACAGAAAATCAACAAAGAAACATTGGATTTAAACTGCACTTTAGACCAAATGGACCTAACAGACTTTTATGGAACATTTTATTCAACAGCTGCAGAATATACATTCTTCTCATCAGCACATGAAACATTCTCTATGATAGACCATATATTAGGCCACAAAACAAGTCTCAACAAATTTTTAAAATTCGAAATCATGTCAACTATCTTCTTGGCTTGCAATGGAATAAAACTGGAAATCAATAACGTGAACTTTACAAACTGTACAAATACAAGGAAAATAAAAGTGTGCTCCTGAATGACCATTGAGTTGAAGAAGAAATTAAGAAGGAAATAAAAATAGTTCTTGAAACAAATGAAAATGGAAACACAACATACCAAAACCTATGAGATACAGCAAAAGCAGTGCTAAGATGGAAGTTTGCAGCAATAAATACCTACGTCAAAAAAGTATAAAGATTTCAAATAAACAGGCCAGTGACATCCTCTCAAGGAACTGGATGGTATAGCTTAGCCACACATGTTTAGTAGTGCTAACATCTTTAGTTGAGTTAATTAAAAAGGTGAATCTATAACAATGAATTTTGTTGGAGGGTATTAAAAATAGGTTTTGTGAAAGAAATGAAGTTTCACATTGTGTTTGGACCAAATATGCTAAAAAACAACTTGATTTCCTTCATACAAACATTTTAGAGGGAGAGTCAGTATAAAAATTAAAAACGTTTGAAATTTCACATCAAGTTCAGTCTTTATGGGGTGAATTACACAAGATTGCTCTGTTTCTAAGTGGACAAATAAAATTTTCTAAAATAAACATGTTTTACTACTTAAATGATCATGCTGCTACAAGCCTTGCAGGAAAATGATTATATTTATTAGTCCTCTAGTCAAACTCCTATCTATGTTCACATGAATTTAAGCATCCTGCAAAATCTTCTTCCTCTGTGAATGGATAAGAGCAATTTCAGCACAGAATTTTAAATTCTCCAAGTATTCCTGTCTCTGAAATTAGCCTCTCTACCCAAATTTACAAGGCTTGTTATCAAATATGAAAATATACCAGTCTCTCAAAATTTAAAACCTATAATTTTTGGTTCCACACTAGTATTGTATGTAGCTCAGTGTTATTCCTTAATAAATATTTGTTGAATGAACAAACTAATTTTGCAATAATTTGTCAAATGTGCTCTTTCTTAAAGGATTTCCAGTCTCTTGTGGGATTATTACATCTTTTTTCCACTTGAGTTTCACAGAAGTGTAGTATACATGCACTAAGGTGGCCCCTAGAATATGTATTTTTTCCTGAAATTATATGCAATAAAACGTCCTCCATTCTACTTGAGCATAATTTGTTATATACCATATTGAACGTCTCCACAGATGGTTTTGCTGTCAAATCCTTGAGTTTAAATGATTCTGAATGTATTGTAGTCCTGTTGGACATAGAGAGGTTGCCTTGCATTAAATGCCTCCCAGGGATCAATATAATTATTCCAGTGCCCACTGCACTCCTTTTGCCCCAAGTTGAATACACTGGAGACTTGCAGTGTAGAAAGAACATAAGCTGTAGGCTGGGCGCGGTGGGTCACGCCTGTAATCCCAGCACTTTGGGAGGCCGAGGCGGGCAGATCAAGAGGCCAGGAGATCGAGACCATCCTGGCTAACACGGTGAAACCCCGTCTCTACTAAAAATACAAAAAATTAGCTGGGCATGGTGGCACGCGCCTGTAGTCCAGCTACTCGGGAGGCTGAGGCAGGAGCATCGCTTGAACCCGGGAGGCAGAATTTGCAGTGAGCTGAGATTGCACCACTGCACTCCAGCTTGGGCGACAGGGCGAGACTCTGTCTCAAAAAAAAAGAACATAAGCTGTAGAATCAGAGGGGTTCTTGTTTCAGCTCTGCCATTTCAATAGATAAGTAAGTTGCTTAGCTTTGTTGAGTCTTAGTTTCTTCCCTAGAAGAGTAGAGGAAATAATGTCTATAGGTTCACAGTTCTGAGGTCTGCATTACATAGTGCAGCTCTAGTGTGTAATTCAGTGCCCAGCACAGTCAGAACTACAAGAAGTTATTTACTCTCCTCTTGAAAATTCCATATAGTTCTGTTACTTCCTAAGTGCCCATATTCAGATAGGCCAAGTAGAAAAATCCTGGAATTTGGCCAGGCGCGGTGGCTCACGCCTGTAATCCCAGCACTTTGGGAGGCTGAGGTGGGCGGATCACAAGGTCAGGAGTTTGAGACCAGCCTGGCCAATATGGTGAAACCCCGTCTCTACTAAAAATACAAAAATTAGCTGGGTGTGGTGGTGCGTGCCTGTAGTCCCAGCTACTCGGGAGGCTGAGGCAGAAGAATCCTTGAACCCGGGAGGCGGAGGTTGCAGGGAGCTGAGATGGCGCTACTGGACTCCAGCCTGAGCAACAGAGTGAGACCCCATCTCAAAAAAAAAAAAAGAGAAAAATCCTGGATCTGTAGGATTGATGGCTACCTTGGAGAACCTACTGCTGTTTCCCTCCCCCAAATATTGTTTTATTGAAGCAATAGAAAATATTTCTAGCACAGTGTGAAAACCCATGGTTAACTTGTGATTTATTTTCTTTATAACTTCTTATGCATTTGTACATTATTTTATGACAGCATAATAACATAAGCATTTACTCCTTTTTATTAAAATCTTCTTAATGGCTGTATCGTAACTCTGTGTGGTCATAACATACTTTAATTAACCATTCTTTTATTGTTGGACATTTAGGCTCTTTCTTGTGTCGGGCTATTCTAAATAATGATACATCTTGTACAGGAAGCTTTTTTGATTTTTTCATGTTATTTTCTTGATAAAAGTTCCCAAAATTAGAACTTTTGAGCTAAAATATATTTTTTTATTGTGATAAAACGTACATAACATAAAATTTACCATTTTAAACATTTTTAAGTGTAGAGTCTGGTGACGCTGGTCATTCACATTGTGTGGAACCGGAACCACCATTCATCTCCAGAACTTTTCCCCCTTTTCAAGCTGAAACTCTGTTTCATAACAATAATTCCTCTTTTTATCCTCCCCTCAGCCACTGGCAGCTAGCATTCTACTTTCCATCTCTAGGAATTTGACTACACTAGGCACCTTATGTAGTTGAAATCATACAATATTTGTCCTTTTGTGTTGACTCATGTTACTAAATAAATGTCTTCAGGTTTCATCCATGTTGTAGCATATGTCAGAATTTCCTTCCTTTTTAAGGCTCGTATTCTATTTTGTATGTATACTAAATTTTGTTTATTCATTCCTCCATTGAAGGATATTTGGATTACTTTACCTTTTGGCTATTGTAAATAAGTCTGCTGTGAACATTGGTGTACATTATCTCTTCAAGTCTCTGTTTTCACTTCCTTTGAGTACATACCCTGAAGTGGAATTGCTGGATCATATGGTAATTCTATGTTTAATTTTTTGAGGAACTGCCATTTTGTTTTCCACTGCTTCCACAATTGCTACCAGCAATGCACAAGGATTCCAGTTTCTCTATGTTCTCACCAACAGTTATTTTCTTTCTTTCTTTTTAAAAATAATGGTTATTCTGTCAGGTGTGAAGTCGTGTCTCTTCATGGTTTTGATTTGCATTTCTCTAAAGATTAGTGATGGTTAAGTATCTTTTCATGTACTTATTGTCCATCTGTTTATCTTTTGGGTATATTCTTTGAGTGTTAAAGATCTTTTCCCATTTTTTAATGGACTTGTTTTCTTTTGTTAAGTTTTAGGAGTTATTTATATATTCTGGACATTAATCCCCATCAAATATAAGATTTACAAAAAATTTCTTCCATTCCATGGTTGCCTTTCCATCCTGTGGATGGTGTTCTTTGATACACAAAAGTTTCTAACTTTGAAATTCAATTTATTTTTTGTTTTATTGCATGTACTTTTGGTAGTATATCAAGAAATCACACCAATTAGAATGGCGATCATTAAAAAGTCAGGAAACAACAGGTGCTGGAGAGGACGTGGAGAAATAGGAACACTTTTACACTGTTGGTGGGACTGTAAACTAGTTCAACCATTGTGGAAGACAGCGTGGCCATTCCTCAAGGATCTAGAACTAGAGATACCATTTGACCCAGCCATCCCATTACTGGGCATATACCCAAAGGATTATAAATCATGCTGCTATAAAGACACATGCACACGTATGTTTATTGCAGCACTATTCACAATAGCAAAGACTTGGAACCAACCCAAATGCCCATCAATGATAGAATGGATTAAGAAAATGTGGCACATATACACCATAGAATACTATGCAGCCATAAAAAAGGATGCGTTCATGTCCTTTATAGGGACATGGATGAAGCTGGAAACCATCATTCTCAGCAAACTATTGCAAGGACAAAAAACCAAACACCACATGTTCTCACTCATAGGTGGGAATTGAACAATGAGAACACATGGACACAGGGTGGGGAACATCACACACTGGGGCCTGCTGGGGGGTGGGGGGAGGGGGGAGGGATAGCATTAGGAGGTATACCTAATGTAAATGAGGAGTTAACGGGTGCAGCACACCAACATGGCACATGTATACATATGTAACAAACCTGCACGTTGTGCATGTGTACCCTAGAACTTAAAGTAAAAAAATTTATAATTTTTTAAATTAAAAAAAATCATTACCAATTCCAATGTCATGAAGCTTTTCCCTGCTTTGTAGTAAGTTTTGAAATTAGAAAATGTGAGACCTCCAACTTTATTTTTCTTTTCTGGATGAACTTTTTTAAAGCCTGCATTTTCAATACAGACATGCATGCATTCAGTGTAGGCCAAGCAAGGTCTAAATAACCAAGCAAGTTTCTTTCTACCTCCTGGAGGCAGAACCAGTGAATTTTACATCTTGATAGATCAATGTTCTCTTTTCCCTGTGACTTTTTAAAATTAATTATTAAATTTTTAACTGTTTATTTTGAAATAATTTTAGTCTGACAAAACAGTTGCAAAAATGATGCGGAGTACCTTGTACCCTTCAACAAGTTTCCCTTAATATTAATGCTTTACATAATCACAATTCAATTATGCAATCAGGAAACTGACATTTGTGCAAAGACAAAACTAGAGATCTTATTCAAATTTTGCCAATTTTTCCAGCAACATGTTTTTCTGTCCTGAGATCTGATCCAGTATTCTGTATTTTCTCTCTTTATTAACAAATATCTTTTTTTTTTTTTTTTTTTTGAGACGGAGTCTCGCTCTGTCGCCCAGGCTGGAGTGCAGTGGCGGGATCTCAGCTCACTGCAAGCTCCACCTCCCGGGTTCACGCCATTCTCCTGCCTCAGCCTCCCAAGTAGCTGGGACTACAGGCGCCCGCCACTACGCCCGGCTAATTTTTTGTATTTTTAGTAGAGACAGGGTTTCACCATTTTAGCCGGGATGGTCTCGATCTCCTGACCTCGTGATCCGCCCGCCTCGGCCTCCCAAAGTGCTGGGATTACAGGCGTGAGCCACCGCGCCCGGCCTTTATTAATAAATATCTTGAGGGAGATAACTTTGAGACTTACACAAATATCCTATTTCTCCTCAACTTTTGCCCATTAATCTTAGCATCCATTAGTGGATCTTATCAGCAATAATTATTACTGTGGTGTTTGCCTAATGGTGATACTGTATTTCCCTCTTTCCTTTGACATTCATTGACTGGAATTCTTTTGAAATGAAAAACTGTTCCTTTTCCCCCATTTTTTTCTTAGAACATATTTTTGAAGCCTCTGAATACATTGAGCCAAATGTATTCCTGAAAGATTTCTCCCAAGTTATGCTTCTCAGCAATAGTATTTAATATCATAGTAAAATCGTTTTACCCATTCAGTGGTCCAACATGTCAAGAGGCTGTCCCTAATTACCCCATCTAAGTTAGACTCCTCTTAACTATGCTATTTTCTATGGCAGAAACTGATTACCATAATAGGAAATATCAAGACTGGGAGAGGGGACGGTAACTTTAGAGATGATTAAGGAATGCCTCTTGAGAAAGTAACATTTTTGCTGAGAAGGAGAGAAGTATGAGAAGGAGCCAAGCAGAGAGAAAGTGGAGGGAAGAGTGTTCCAGGCATAGGGAACAGCATGTGCAAAGCCCCAAGACGGTGAAGGCATTTGCCTTAGCTCAAGGGAGCTAACATCCCTGAGGAACTCAAAGATGGCCAGAATAAAACATAGTGGGTGAGGCAGCAGTGCTTGGGAGATGAAGTTTGGTTGTAAGCAGTGGCCACATCAGGTAAAAGTCTTGAAGACTTTGTTAAGATGAATGGATTTTACGCTGGGGACAGTGGAAAGCCACTGGAGAGGATTTTTCATGGGTTCTTTTAGGATTGCACATTCTGTTATTTACTGTCTATATTAGATTCCTATGGCTGACATAACCAAGTACCATTAAATAAGAGGCTTAAAACAACAGAAATGTGTTCTCTCCCAGTTCTGAGGCTAGCAGTCTGAAACCAAGGTGTTGGCAGGGCCATGCTTCCTCTAAGCCACTAGAGGAGGATCCTTTCTTGCCTCTTTAGCTTCTGATGGCTTGAGACATTCTTTGGCTTGTGGTATCGTAATTCACTCCCTGCCTCCATCTTCATTCACATGGCTTTCTTCTCGCTGTGTGTCTCTGTGTCTTTACATAGCAGTTATTCTTTCTGAATCGCTCTCCTCTTCCTATTAGGACACCAGTCATATTGGATTAAGGGCTCACCTATTCCAGTATGACATCTTAACTAATCAAATCTAAAATGACCCTATTTCCAAATAAGGTCACATTCTCTGGGGGCTAGGATTTCAATATATACTTTTCAGGAACACAGTTAAACCCGTAACACTGCCTCTATTGTGTGCATGTGTTTTTAATTTCAGCACACCTACTTATGTGGTAGTTTTCTGTGCAAAATCTTTCTCTTTTTTTTGAGACTGAGTTTCGCTGTGTCACCCAGGCTGGAGTGCAGTGATGCAATCTCAGCTCACTGCAACCTCTGTCTCCTGGGTTCAAGTGATTCTCCTGCCTCAGCCTCCCGAGTAGCTAGGATTACAGGTGCATGCCACCACGCCCGGCTAATTTTTGTATTTTTAGTAGAGATGGGGTTTCACCATGTTGGCCAGGCTGGTCTCGAACTCCTGACCTCATGTGATCCACCCACCTTGGCCTCCAGAAGTGCCGGGATTACAGGCGTGGGCCACCGCGCCCGGCCGCAAAATCTTTCTTTTTTTCAAGTTATAACCTTTTAAAGTAGCTTGTTTTTGTTTTGTTTTTTGTTTTTGGGATGAGGTCTTACTCTGTCACCCAGGTTGGAGTGCAGTGGTGAAATCTTGATTCACTGCAACCTCTGCCTCCCAGGGTCAAGTGATCCTCCCACCTCGCCCTCCCACGTAGTGGGGACCACAGGTGTGTGCCAGCATGCCTGGCTAATTTTTTGTATTTTTAGTAGAGACAAGGTTTTATCATGTTTCCCAGGGTGGTCTCAAACTCCTGAGCTCAGGCAATCCATCCACCTCGTCCTCCCAAAGCGCTGGAATTATAGACGTGAGCCACCATGCCTGGCAACCTGTTCTTATTTTATTAATTTAATAACTTTCTTCATTTTACTGAGGATATAAAGTAAAATTGTGTTTTCAATGGATTTTTACAGTTGGGGGCCATTTGCCTTGGTGTTTAACTTGATTGCCTTCTTTTGAGTTTGGATGTGGATGGTTTTCATATGTTTGTGAGATGTGTGTAGTTTCATGAATTGGCTGTTTGACATTTTTTTATTCTTTAGTTGCTGAAAACACTAGAACCTTTCTTATTATCAGTAGGTTCTTAATATAGATAATATATTAATGTTTCTCTATCAGATTTTCTGCATAAAACATCCCAGGTTGTTTTGGGTACTTGAAATACTTACTTTCATAAAATATTTGATTGCAATATTATGTATTTTAGTTTTTTTCTTTGAAATATATTTCATAAATTTTAATAATAGAAGTTTATCAGTAAGTCAAATAAATGTTTCCCACATATTTTCTTCTAGTTATTTATGGGTAAATTTTCTTTACACTTAAATACCTTTAATGCTTATTTTCCCCTAATTATTAAAATGATGAATTATTTATTTCTAAATATAAAACAAATGGTTAATGTCTAAGAAAGTTCAGAAAAGCTCAAAGAGAAATCAATTCTCCATACATTCATGACCCACTAGTAATTGCTTTTAACTTTTTTTTAAAGTTTTTAAGCTTTTTCCATGCAAATATTTTAACCATATTAATTTAACTCTCTGTGTAATATTTGGAGAACCCCAGATTTCTTTTCTTGACACTATAATCTAAGCATATTATAGAACATACTTTGTGAATATCATTTTTTTTAACCAAATGTACTATCATGTGGACATTTAATGAAGAGATCAGAGAACTATGACCCTTGGGCCATATCCAGCCTACCATTGTTTTTTGTAAATAAAGTTTACTGGAACACAGCCACAATCATTTGTTAACATATTGTGCATAGTTCATTTTGGGATAAAATAGCCAGTTTAGAAGTTATGACAGAGAGACACTGTGGCCCCAAAAGCCAAAAATATTTACTATCCAGTTATTTACAGAAAAAGGTTGCCAATCCCTGCTCACTATACTTAACTATTTTTTTGAGTTTTGTGCTTTGGGTAGTTTAATTTTTTTGTTTTAATATATAACATGATGATGAAATTTTATCAATTATATTTGTTACTTATCTTGAGTTTTCTTAGGCCAGAACTTTGAGTACCTTTAATAAAGTCATTCATTTATTTATTTCTTCTTTTATTCAACAAAAACATACTGAATAGCTATCTCATAACTAGCACTGTGTTTGTTTCTAAAATACGCTTGTAAATAAGATACACAGAGTTCTTTTAGGGAGTTTACAATTTGGCAGGGAAAACAAATATATTTAAATGTGTTGAGCATTTGATGAACATTTCGTACAGAGTTTATCTAGTGAGATTATCACACAACAGAAAATCCTGACTTAAAAGAAGGAGGTCAAGTAAAACCTCTCGAAAAAAGTGGTGATGCCTGAAGAATGAAACTTGGCCAGCAGGTTGAAGAGAGGCAGTGGCAACGGGCACGGAGTCTCCTGGAGAAGGATCAGAGTATTTGAAGATCCAAAGAGAAAGAGATTCCTAGAAATACCAGGACCTTGAAATTGTACAATTCTGGCTGAAGTTGCATGAGTGAGGAAAAGAGCTGGAGCGGTTGAAGGACCAGGCTTTACAGATTTTAAAGTATGGTAAATATTTTGAATTCTAATGATATAAGAAACTATTGAAGCAGATTTTATCACTACTTTGGCTAGGAAATAGGGAATTTTTTTGAGGACAAAGAGTTGCTGCAGAGATTTCAGTTAGGAGTTTAGGCCAGAGAAGATGGAGCTTAAGGTGTTGATGGTGGAGAAGAGAGAAGAGGACATATTTGACAGATATTTTGGAGGTTGAGCTGGCGAGATTTCGTGATACTAGTGGTGGGAGTTGAAAATAGGGAGGAAGCAAGGATGACCCCAGGCTTATGAAACTGGGTTAGTGTCATTCACTGAGTGAGGGAGCACTAGAAGAAGAGCAGTTTGTTTAGAGTGGGATGGGAATAATGATGTTGAGTTTGAGATGGCTGAAAGAAGTATAAATGGAAATGTCAAATAAGGGGTGAACTAGATCAGCTCAAGCCTGAGGGCACATAACTCAGGGGAGAATACAGTTGGATATACATATTCAAACGTCTTTTGCCCACAGATGATTATAGAGGTTATGGGAGTTACCTGAGCAGAGAGTATGGAGTTAGGTGACATGATGGCCAAGGTAAAGGCCCAATGAATACCACCATTTAGTTATTTATTTATGTTTTTGTCAAATGAAGAAGGTAGAGCTGGAAAAGGTAGATTGACAGAGATGGAGGAGGGGCAGCAGATAAGAACAGTATCACAAATCAAAGGCATGAGAACTGTAAAAGGGAGCAGTGGTCAACTGTAACAAATGCTGCTGGAAAGTCAGGTATACAAAATCCTGGACAGATGTTTATTGGTTTAATTGAAATGAATGAATGGTTTTTGTTGATATGTAGGAAGTCAGTTCAGTAGATGTTATGATGTAGAAATAATCTGGAGACAGGTTAAGTGGGAGGTGAAGATAAAGAACAGCAAGTATAGATGATTTATTCAAGAAGTTTGTAATGGAAGAAAAATAAAATAGAAGCTCAAGGGGGAGATGGGAATAAGGAAGGTGTATTATTTGTTTGTCTGATTTTTAAGAAAGAAGTTTAATCTTCTACATATTTCAAAATTTCTTCTCAAACATTATTACTAATATTATGAAGAATAACACCATCTACATATGAAAGTGCTTGCCTCACTTAGGGTTGACTAGACTGGAACATTATCATTTTTAGTAGAATTTAAGCTCTGCTAGGGCAAGGATCTTTTTTTCTCTTTCATTCTTTGTTTTATACCCAGCACCTAGAATGGTGCTTGGCACATAGTACATGCCCAATAAATACCTGTGGAATGAACGAGTGAATAATACATCTCTGTTAATATGAAGTATAGAAGTGCTATCTCAGTATTGCTTTAGCGTACAAGTCTTTGTTAACTAGTAATCTCATGTATAGAGATCCCTATCAAACTGAATTCCTCAGTGGCAAGAGCTATGATTTGTTTATCCATGGATCCCCATAAAGTTGTATAGAGTTTAGCACTTAGGCTGTCAAACATAGTTGTGCCAGATAACTATTTTTTTGCCTTACATATGGAGAGAAGGATGAGATTTCAAATAACTTAACCTAGAGTCCAAGGGAAATTGGCCATAGAGCCTGCTTTCAGCTCTCAATTAAGCTCTGGTTTAGTTAAACCAAAAGGAAATATTTTTCCCTTTAAAAATAATTCTATATGGAGAATCAAATCTGGTGGCTCTCACTTGACTATAACCATTTCATTCTCTGCATTGTGAGGTGTTTCTAGTACTATGGAATTGCTACTGGTGATGGAAAGAATGCTCTCTCTATATATAAATGTCCTTAAAATGCTATCCTCACAGAATTTTATAAAACAACACAAGAAGAGGGTAACAGTGTTAAGAATATAAAAAATGAAGTTTGGTACAGTATTATATCATGGAGGACTAGCTCAGGAAGGAAAGGGGTAAAGTTCTGCATGACTGTAAAATACCCAAGCCAGTCATGTTACTCATATTGATAAACTACTGTCCCAGCTGCATTTTTCAGATTAACAAAAATCAAGCTACAAACCATTAAAGAAATATAAGAGACATTTCTTACTGGTTTCATGTAGGGGCATTCAATTTACGGTGCAGTACCTATCACTTCAGGAAAGAAACATTGCTTTAGAAAAGAAAGATATTTCTAACATTTTTGGACTAAATGGTCAAGTCTCTAAGTCTGTAAATTTCACTAGATAAAAAAATTGTATGTGCTGGGCAAAATATTATTGAGCATCCATTTTCCTTTTCTTCTTTACACAAAAAATTTACTGTTATAGCTCATTGAAGGCTCAATGCGAAATGAACAACCTCTTTGCAATCCTGTCACCCAAGTCTTGTAAACAATCAGCTCTTTCCACACACATAATCATAAGCACAGACTATAATTGGGATATTTATTTATTTATAGCTTATTTGTGTTCTGTGTTTATTTGTGGCTGTGCCTCTGCAGGTAGAGTGAAGTGGATTGTTCAAAATTCAGTTAATGGTGGTGAGCTGGGTATACAAAGGCTGAAACGCTGCATATTTCTTTTTTTATTAGATTTTTGTCTCATTCTATTCACCATGCTTCAGGAAAGTTATTAATAACTCAATCTTCACAACTTATAAAGTGGTTACTGATTTGGGTATGAACTGATTAAAATTTAGCTATAAATCATCCATTTAATTGTAGTTTCTCAGTTTAGGAGGAGAATTTCATGATTATTTTGTTAATTTCAGCATTGGATTAATCTTGCAAAATAGACTATGCTTCGATGCCTCCAATAATGGAAATCTCATTACCTCACAGGAAAGCCCCTTCCAGCTCTTGACAAGTCTCAGTATTTGAAAGTTTCTCCTTACAGTGACACCCAAATCACTTTTCCTGAGCTTACATTCTGTGATTATTGTTCCAACTGTTGAAGTTATACCAAAACTTACTCTTCCGTATGACAAACTCTTATATAATTAAAGACACATAATATAATTCACCTAAGTATTTTTTTTCAGGACAAGCATCTACAACATCTTGTTATTTCTTAATTGACTTGAGTTCAAGATGCTTCCGTATCTTGGACACTTACCAATCTTTTTCTTAAAATGTGGAGTTCTGCTGTTACCTCTCATGTTTTAGATACACTGTTAATTTAGCCCAATATTACATTTGTCTCTGATAATCACATCAATTTATTGACCCATATTGAATGCACTGACAACTAAACTTTGTCATATAACTCTTGTCACTACTAAGCCATGCCACTCCCATTGTGTACCTATCTAATTTGTTTACTGGCTATGATAACAGAAACTTATATTTAACCTTATTTACTTTTAATTTGTAAGACCCCAGTCGTTTCTGCATTCTTTTAATAGACGTTTTCATCCTTTTCTCTCATATAGTCTACTTATCTCTGTCAGCTCCCTGTCACCTGCAGGTTTGATATGCAGAACTGTATATCTTCATCCAGTTCATTGATTGATATGTTAAACCTCAGCATTCCCGCTAGGTGGGCATCATTTCATTAATCAGGCTCTTTGGATAAGGTCATTCTATCAATTTCAAACCTATAAATACCACATTGTAGTTAAGAGTTTGGGTTGAAAAGAGATCCTAGACATGGTTCTCAAATCTATTATGTAAAAGATACAATATTTTAATTACCCTTGATAAATTATGCAATTGTCTACATTATGGGTTTTTTCCCCCTTTAAAAGGAGATAACATATCTACTTCTGAGAGTCTGGGATACACTTTAAATGGGATAATGTGTATAAATTGCTTAGCATAATACCTGACACATAGTAAGTAGTTGTATTAGTCAGGGTTCTCCAGAGAGACAGAACCAAGAGGATATATGTAAAAACTGCTTTATATGGCTGGGTGCAATGGCTCACACCTGTAATCCCAGCACTTTGGAAGGCCAAGGCGGGCGGATCACCTGAGGTCAGGAGTTTGAGACCAGCCTGGCCAAAATGGGAAAACCCCATCTTTACTAAAAGTACAAAAATTAGC
Source organism: Homo sapiens (assembly GCF_000001405.40). Classification (NCBI taxonomy): domain Eukaryota; kingdom Metazoa; phylum Chordata; class Mammalia; order Primates; family Hominidae; genus Homo; species Homo sapiens. The sequence goes on from NC_000012.12 coordinate 44,179,050, forward strand.
CTGGTGTGGTGGTGGGTGCCTGTAATCCCAGCTACTCAGGAGGCTGAGGCAGAAAAATCACTTGAACCCGGGAGGTGGAGTTGCAGTGAGCCGAGATCACGCCACTGTCCTCCAGCCTGGGCAACAAGAGCAAGACTCTATCTCAAAAAAACAAAACAAAGCTGCTATATATATATATACATAAAGGGAGTTTATTAGAGAGAATTGGCTTACACAATTGGCTCACACAATTACAAGGCAAAGTCCCATCATAAGTCATCTGCAAGCCGGAGAAATAGAGAAGCCAGTAGTGTGGCTCAGTCCAAGTCCAAAAGCCTCAAAACCAGGGAAGCTGACAATGCAAGCATCAGTCTGAGGCTGAAGGCCCGAGAGCTTCTGGGAGTCTGCTGGTGCAAATCCTACAGTTCAAAAGGCCAAGGAACCTGGAGTCTGATGTCGAAGACCAGGAAGAGAGGAAGCCAAGTGTCCAGCATGGCAAGGGAAGAGTGAGAGTGGGAAGACTCAGCAGCAAGCTGCTTATCTCCCTTCTTCTACCTGCTTTGTTCCAGCCTTGCTGGCAGCCAGTTGGATGGTGCCCACCAATTGGTGGGTCTTTCTTCCTAGAACACTGACTCAAAAGCCAATCTCACCTGGCAGTACCCTCGCAGACACACCCAGGAACAACGCTTCTTCAGCCACCTGGGCATCCCTCAATCCAGTCAAGTTGACACCTAATGTTAACCATCACAGTGGTCTATTATTACTGACTATCTTTATCATTGTGTTAGTTTGGGAAATACTAGCTGTAATAACAAATAACCCAAATATTTCAGTGCTATATAACAACAATTCATTGTGGGCTGTCCTGGTTGGCAGATGGCTTTCTTCCATGTTGTGATTCAGTGGTGAGGCTCTTTTTATTTGGTAGCTCTGCCACCCCTTAGGGCCTCAGTGTCTTCTTTATCTAGGCAGAAGAAAATAAAAAAGAAGGTTTATAACTAACACCACCTAGAAGTGAAATAAATCACTTCAACTCACATTCCAATGAGGAGCACTAATCACATGGCCTCACCTAGCTTCAAAAAAGGCACCAAAAAATGTGGCCCCTGACTGGGCAGCCAGTTCCCAGTGTTAACAGTTGGTGAGAGCACACATTTATGGTAGACAGTGTATCGCTGCTGTGATCACCATCACCATCATCATCATCATCATCGTCATCATCATCATCATTAATATTCCCTCATTAAGCCACATGCAGCTCATGTTCCTCTATCTTGTCCAGTAAGATTTTGTAAACAACGATGTAAAAGAACTACCTGACATCTTTTTTTTTTTTTATTATACTTTAAGTTTTAGGGTACATGTGCACATTGTGCAGGTTAGTTACATATGTATACATGTGCCATGCTGGTGCGCTGCACCCACTAACTCGTCATCTAGCATTAGGTATATCTCCCAATCCTATCCCTCCCCCCTCCCCCCACCCCACAACAGTCCCCAGAGTGTGATATTCCCCTTCCTGTGTCCATGTGATCTCATTGTTCAATTCCCACCTATGAGTGAGAATATGCGGTGTCTGGTTTTTTGTTCTTGTGATAGTTTACTGAGAATGATGATTTCCAATTTCACCCATGTCCCTACAAAGGACATGAACTCATCATTTTTTATGGCTGCATAGTATTCCATGGTGTAATGTGCCACATTTTCTTAATCCAGTCTATCATTGTTGGACATTTGGGTTGGTTCCAAGTCTTTGCTATCGTGAATAATGCCGCAATAAACATATGTGTGCATGTGTCTTTATAGCAGCATGATTTATAGTCCTTTGGGTATATACCCAGTAATGGGATGGCTGGGTCAAATGGTATTTCCAGTTCTAGATCCCTGAGGAATCGCCACACTGACTTCCACAATGGTTGAACTAGTTTACATTCCCACCAACAGTGTAAAAGTGTTCCTATTTCTCCACATCCTCTCCAGCACCTGTTGTTTCCTGACTTTTTAATGATTGCCATTCTAACTGGTGTAAAATGGTATCTCATTGTGGTTTTGATTTGCATTTCTCTGATGGCCAGTGATGATGAGCATTTTTTCATGTGTTTTTTGGCTGCATAAATGTCTTCTTTTGAGAAGTGTCTGTTCATGTCCTTTGCCCACTTTTTGATGGGGTTGTTTGTTTTTTTCTTGTAAATTTGTTTGAGTTCATTGTAGATTCTGGATATTAGCCCTTTGTCAGATGAGTAGGTTGCGAAAATTTTCTCCCATTCTGTAGGTTGCCTGTTCACTCTGATGGTAGTTTCTTTTGCTATGCAGAAGCTCTTTAGTTTAATTAGATCCCATTTGTCAATTTTGTCTTCTGTTGCCATTGCTTTTGGTGTTTTAGACATGAAGTCCTTGCCCATGCCTATGTCCTGAATGGTAATGCCTAGGTTTTCTTCTAGGGTTTTTATGGTTTTAGGTCTAACGTTTAAGTCCTTAATCCATCTTGAATTGATTTTTGTATAAGGTGTAAGGAAGGGATCCAGTTTCAGCTTTCTACATATGGCTAGCCAGTTTTCCCAGCACCATTTATTAAATAGGGAATCCCTTCCCCATTGCTTGTTTTTGTCAGGTTTGTTAAAGATCAGATAGTTGTAGATATGTGGCGTTATTTCTGAGGGCTCTGTTCTGTTCCATTGATCTATATCTCTGTTTTGGTACCAGTACCATGCTGTTTTGGTTACTGTAGCCTTGTAGTATAGTTTGAAGTCAGGTAGTGTGATGCCTCCAGCTTTGTTCTTTTGGCTTAGGATTGACTTGGCGATGCGGGCTCTTTTTTGGTTCCATATGAACTTTAAAGTAGTTTTTTCCAATTCTGTGAAGAAAGGCATTGGTAGCTTGATGGGGATGGCCTTGAATCTGTAAATTACCTTGGGCAGTATGGCCATTTTCATGATATTGATTCTTCCTACCCATGAGCATGGAATGTTCTTCCATTTGTTTGTATCCTCTTTTACTTCCTTGAGCAGTGGTTTGTAGTTCTCCTTGAAGAGGTCCTTTGCATTCCTTGTAAGTTGGATTCCTAGGTATTTTATTCTCTTGGAAGCAATTGTGAATGGGAGTTCACTCATGATTTGGCTCTCTGTTTGTCTGTTGTTGGTGTATAAGAATGCTTGTGATTTTTGTACCTTGATTTTGTATCCTGAGACTTTGCTGAAGTTGATTATCAGCTTATGGAGATTTTGGGCTGAGACAATGGGTTTTTCTAGATATACAATCATGTCATCTGCAAACAGGGACAATTTGACTTCCTCTTTTCCTAATGGAATACCCTTTATTTCCTTCTCCTGCCTAATTGCCCTGGCCAGAACTTCCAACACTATGTTGAATAGGAGTGGTGAGAGAGGGCATCCCTGTCTTGTGCACAGAGCCAAAGACAAAAACCACATGATTATCTCAATAGATGCAGAAAAAGCCTTTGACAAAATTCAACAACGCTTCATGCTAAAAACTCTCAATAAATTAGGTATTGATGGGACGTATTTCAAAATAATAAGAGCTATCTGTGACAAACCCACAGCCAATATCATACTGAAAGAACTACCTGACATCTTATCATGTCTCTCTACATACTTAAAGGTTTTCAGCCATTGTAGAATTGTTATGAAAGCTCAGGAAAAAAAGCCTAGTGGATAATTCAGACATATATCCCCTGCCATATCTAGAGTTAACCTGAATTTCAGCAAGTGGATGCAGGTACCTCATAGCTTAGTTGTACTGATTGGCAAAAGTGTGATGAGTCGGTCAGTAGCACCTCCATCTTGTATGCAGAAATAACTTCATTTGATGTGTAGTTAAACAAAAAACGCTTTTAATCCAAACTGTTACTTTAAAATAACTTTCTACATCTATTAGTTGCCTTCTCTATCTTAGTACATACCTTTACTTGATTTTTTCATATTTAAGGATAATAAAATAATCCAATGAACATCATTATAATCATTTATAAGCAGCAATTGTTTTGTTTTTCTTTCACACATGCATACAGAGGCATATATGTAAAATCATTTTGGATTTAGAAAATTTAGAAATTTATAAAGAAAAAATTGCCAATAATCCTCAGCTAGGGATAATTACAGTAAAAATTTTGGTGTATTTCTAATATTTTCCATTCATATAGGATAATTATTATCTAATGACTATATTTAGTAAGGATATAAAAATGCCATTGTTTATTTAGACATTCCCTATTATTGTATGTATGTCAATATAGTTGTTGCATGTGTGAGAGTACACTGTGGTGTGATCTTAGTAAATGCATTGCTCTCTTAATTTTGGATACTTACTTTGCATAGCTGTTAATTGAGAATACTTACATTTTTAGGTGACATGAAGCTGGGTGTGATTAATTATAAAGTGCTTTATAAAGTACCTTAGCTATACTAAAGGTATGTGCTTAACATGTTTTTGCCTGGTTCCTGCACAATTATCACTATATTGTTTGATGTAAACATTAACTGGACAATCTTAGAGAGTGCTGTGCTGTGGCCTTCATTAAGGGGGCTGGGAAAACTTATTTTAGAGACCAGTAGCAAGCCTAGAGATCACACAGAATGATTTTGTGCAAGTGAAAGTGGGTTTTAAAAATAGGATCAAAGGCAAGCTGCATAAGGAATAAGGTCTCAAAGGATTAATATGCAACTGAGTAGCCTAGTGTGCTGAAAGAAGAGGTGGGAAAGGGGGCGGGACTGCATGTTCGGCCTGGGTGTATCACATAAAACAGTGAGGGAGTTGATAGCTAATAGCCCATTTGATAGAATCCCTCTTTTCTACGTATTCATTGATTGACTACTTCCCTCACATTTCACACGCAGCAAGACCTTCCCAAGCCAAGGCCTAAAATCCACATCCCTGCAGTAGGTAGAATTCTAAACATGTCCCCCAGCATTCCTGTCCCCTGGTTCTTCAACCAAACACCAATCTAGATACTGCTGGGAAGGGACTTTGCAGATGGAATTCAGGTTACTAATCAGCTGACCTTAAAGCAGAGAAACTGGCCCGGGTGCAGTGGCTTCCACCTGTAATCCCAGCACTTTGGGAGGCTGAGGCGGGCGGATCACTTGAGGTCAGGAGTTTGAGAACAGCCTGGCTAACATGGCGAAATCCCGTCTCTACTAAAAATACAAAAATTAGCCCAGTGTGGTGGCAGGTGCCTGTAATCCCAGCTACTTGGGAAGCTGAGGCAGGAGAATGACTTGAACCTGGGAGATGGAGGCTGCAAGAGCAAAGATCATGCCATTGCACTCCAGACTGGGTGACAGAATGGGACTCCATTTCAAAAATAAAGTAAAATAAAAAAGTAGAGAAATTAGCCTGGATTGTTTGGATGAGCCCACTGTGATCACATAAGCCCTGAAATGCAGCAGAAAAAGGCAGAAGAGTTAGGGAGATGCAGCAGGAGATATGGGGCAGATGGGGAGGGGAGCCCAGGGAGATTCAAAGCATGAAAGGGAGTTGGCTCATCATGACGTGCCTTGAAGATGGTAGAAGGGGACCAAGCAGGCAGCCTCTAGAAGCAGAGAAAAACCCCAGCTTACAGCTTACCAGGAAATGGGGACCTCAGTCCTACAGCTGCATGGGACTGAATTCTGTCAACAACCAGAATGTCTTGAAAGCGATCCTTTCCTAGAGCCTCCAGAAAGGAACTCAGCTCTGCTTATACCCTGTTTCACTTTGTGGCTTTTCTGGTTTTCTGTTCCTGGTTTTATAATTTACCTCATTTTCTGACTACACAACTGTGAGCTAGAAAATGCATGTTGTTTTAAGCCATTTAATTTGTGGTAATTTGTTCCAGGAACAATAGAAAACTAATGCAATCTCAAACATATGTAAGCATAACTTCCTATGCCAAGTACTCGTACCTTTTTGCTTGTACGCCTCCCTCTGCCTAGATGGTGCTTTTCTTATTCCTTAAGGTAAGCCCTACTCAGTCTTTGAAATAACCATGTCACCTCTTTCAGGAAGCTTCCCTCAATAGGGTTGAGTGTAATTTAGGTGCTCTTACTCTGCACTGCAATAGAAACCTGTTTACAGCTCAATCTTTGAATTTATATACAGGTAATCATTGATTTATTTGTCTGTATTCCCCTTCAGCCTTAAATGCCTTTTGATAAGAGCTGACATCTTTTCTTACTTTGCATTATCAGTGACTTTTCTAGTATCTAGTCCTGGTAGTAATACAAAGCATGATTGCTGAAACAATGGTTGAAGGAACAATGGTTTCTAAGCTGAGGTCATAAGCTGAATCAAAATGTTCCATCACGAAAATTAGATAAAGATTTTTTCCTATTTATAGAAAAAATACAGTGATAAAAATTCCCAATTTCAAACCTTTGTCCTCTAAGTTATATTTCAGATTTTGCCACCTGTTGTTGCATATCTTCTAAGAAGAGCTAGTCTATAAAAAGCAGAACAGAAAAGTGAGTTATTAAAAATAACAAAACAAAGCAAAAATCGTTAGGAAAAGACATTGGTGCTTAAAAAAAGCCTTTGTTTTTCTCATGAACTCCTATTTATGGTTGTGAATTTATATTGTATACATATTATTTAGCCATGTTTTACTAGTTGGTAAAATTATTCCTAGTTTTCATGATACAAATATTCCAGTATTTCACCATGTGCAATGAATAGCACTGACTTAGTGGTGCTCTATTCTCTGAATCAAGTAGATGGTCTTTGCTCTATCATGGATTTGGGGTCTTTTTACTTCTTTTTAACATGATGCTCAAGAAAATATGGTCTGGTTAATGCTGAAGATGAAACAGTTTATATAGTTCTGCTCATTTTCAGACCTAAAAGACATACACACACACACACACACACACACACACACACACACACACACACACGTGCTCCTACTTTCTTATAGTGTTATTATTAGTGCCTTTTCTCACATGCATTCTACCACCCATTCTAACCCAAAGCAGCACTTTTAAAACATGTAATCAGAATGTTCTGTAGCAATTTGTGACAGAAAATAATAACATATCCAATAGAAATTCCTAAAGGTGTTTCAGCAGGTGGAATGCAGAATGATCAGCAAATGATTTGGCTAGAACCTCTGCCAAAACCTCCACTTTTGTGAAAAGGGCCATTGGGAGTCCTGATAATGAGATGTGGTTAGGATTTTGACATCTGCTCTTAAAGATATTACTGGAAGCCCTTCCAGGACCAATACTGACAGCTCAGGAACTCCTTTTGACTTGCCTTTCCAAGGAATCTTATGCCTCAAAGAAAGTAATCAGAAGATTTGTTTCCTCCAGAAAGCCAGGGTTGGCAAACCGAGCAAGACTGGTCTAGGGAGGCAGATATCCTTCATTCTACAACTTGTTTGTTTAATTGATAGCCAACTTTGCAAATTCTCTCTGAGCTGTTAAATGCACATGGAAAGATGCAGAGAGGGCAGCATACATGTGTGAATTACTGCCAAACATCTCCATATGTTGTGTCACACGTAACCAGTTTTCCTATGGAAAGGGATAGGTGAAAATGAGAATGATTTACTCTCACAATAGCCTATTTTTGCAAGGAGCATATGTTTAAAAAATCTAGCAATAGTCATAACTCTGCTCAGTTTCATGTAACTTTGAGTTACCACATGGTATATCCTGGAAGACTAATTTTACTGTGTCTAATATTAGGACTACCTTAGCACTCTTCACTTTATAATGATCCTGTGAAAGAAAAAAAGGAATAAAAGTTAATAATTTATACATAAAAATTTAGACCATAATGGCACTAAAAAAGCAAAATGGATTTTGTCTCCATTGTCCCAAAGCATCGTTGTCCTGTGCATGTGTTCTTGGTGCTTTGGAAGCACATTAACATTTAAATTCTTGAGAGTTTACACGGTAGTGATTCCCTGAAGCAGTTACCCTACCTTTAAGCAGGCCTACCCTATTCCTTGGGAGTCATTTCAACAGTGGGAGAACCTGGGAGTATGTATAAAATAATCTTATGTTAAACCAGCAGTAATTTTATATTTAGCCATCCTTACTTAATTCTCAAGGCAGACAAGTTTTCTACTACGTATTAGTTTCTTGCACAGATGGACTCTCACTAGGGAGGCTTCTTATAACTATTTAATATATATGTGCTTTTTCATTATATCCAGACTTATATTTGCTTATTTATTTCCTCCATATCAGTCTAATCCAGATGGACAAATGTAAATGGGAAAAAAATCAAGGTCATCATGATCTTTAATATTTTCATCTGTTTTTTGATCTATATGCTTATCAAAACAAAATTCTTATTTCTCTATTTTTAAAAAATATACTATTTTATATTATTCCCTGTAAGCATAGCTCTGACTGTATAGTTCTTCATATTATGCCTTTTAGAACTTGTGCTGTTAGCCTGATATTCACTTGTTAATTTAATCACTTATCAAATGTTTGAAAGTCCCTGGGACAACAGCTATATATTTTTAATGCTTAGCACTCAGTAATGTTTTTGCATTAATACTATGTGCTAAGGAAATTCAGATTGAATAAGATGGGATCTCTAACCTGGAGGAATTTCACAGTCTAATGGAGACAATGGATATGTTGCATTTGTGCTGGGTCTTGAGTTATAAATGGGATTAAATCAAGGAAGCAGCCACTTCTCAGGCAAAGCACCATGTCCTAATGTTTCAGTCATCTCCTGAAATAACCCTTTTGGCCACCAGTATTTGTTTTTTTAGATGGCTGCTTCAGGTAAGGGGTACAGTACACACTCTGTAATATCTCTTAGGATATTAGAGACCCTCTGTAATATCCTAAGTGACTCATATGGAGCTGCCACCAATGATTTACTTACCATTGATCTATCTATTCACTACCTCTAAGGAAGAATGGATACAGCAGACTTTCTATTTCAAGAGCATTTGATGAAATAACAGCTTTTTTCAGGTGGCTCTGAGAATGGATTAAGAGAATCCAACCTGGTATTTGTAAGATGTACCTAGAGCCTCTTCTAGGACACATTTGAAAGGGGGATATAAAATACAATAAAATAGTTGTAGATAACCTTAATGAGGCAGAAAGGCATAAACACAAGACTTAAAGATCACATTAAATAAGCTGGCCAGTGTGAGCTACTTACATGTCCATATCTATTATCTATTGCTGATTTGGGGTTCTCTTTTAGGCCTGCAAATCTGTTTTCTCTTTCAATGACTTTGATCATCTTCTATCTGAACATCCAATAAGTGATTTCAGCTTTGCCTTTCTGCTTATCTTTTGCAGCTAATCCTGATCCATTTTTCCTTATTGTTTTTCTGGTACCAATTTTAGTCTTGCTACATCTTATTGCTTAACTGTTTCAAGGGGCCCATAACTTGATAATGAGACAGGATCTGAGAGTATTGGAAGATTATTGTGGTTTCTAGAGTAAGTCAGCCCTAACTATGCCATTCCTGGGGGCCAGAGAGCAAAGGAGGTTCTTGTCAGGTACCAGTTATATCTTATCTCTTGTCTTCAGAGGTCAGTGGATAGATAGAGATAATCAACGCACTTTAGTAACAAGCTTCCTTGCTCCTACTGCTCTGTTTTTTGTATATAATATCTCCCACCTGCTGTCCATTTTGCTCAAATGTCATCTTCTCAATAAATTTAGCCTTACCACCCCAAGTACAATTGCAACCATCCCCCTCCTCTGCTCCCACCTCCCACAGCACTCCCATTTGTCTTAGCAGGCTTAATTCTTTTTCTTTTTTTTCATGTCATTTGTTGCCTTGTAACATATTATGGAACTTATTTATTGTGTTTACTGTTTAAGTATTTTCTTCCCACTAGAATGTAAACTCTGTAATTTTCGTTTGTTTTTATTGATGTAGCCCCAGTCTAGAAAAGTGCTTTAGCATGTAACAAATTAATTTTTTATTGGTACATAATAGATGTACATATTTTCAGGGTACACATGATAATTGGATACATTCATATAATGTGTAAAGATCAAATCAGGGTAATTGGGATATATACCACCTTAAATATTTATCTTTTCTTTATGCTAGGAATATTTGAATTATTCTCTTCTAGCTATTTTGAAATGTACACTAGATTATTATTAACTATAGTCACCCTATTGATCTGTCAAACAATATGTCTTATTTCTTTTAACTATATGTTTAATTTTTAATACTTATTAAATATATGAATGAATAACTCCAATATCCACATCATTGCCATCATTCAGAATAGACTTATTTTGCATTCTTAATTCTTATTTCAACTATATATGTTTGCTAAGAATCTTTCTTTTAATCCAGTGTTACTGCAGAAAATGATATTTCTCTCTTCAGTATGAAAGGATTAGCTATCACAGTGAAAAAGAATATAAAGATATGTGAGAATGGCTTTGAGAAGCTAGAGATGCTAAAAGAATGTTAGATTTGCTTCTATACAATAGTACCCTCCAGGCAATAAAAGTATTTACCTTAGGCTCATGTTATCATGAGTATGAATTTTATTAACTTACTTGTTATGTGCAAAAGGAGATGACAGCATGCTACATCTGAAAGAAAAAATAAACTTTTGCCTTGTGTCTCCTCCAGAACAAAACAAAAACCTCAGTAACCTGCAGAACTTAAAGATCGTTTACGTAAAAGGGAAGTAAAAAGGTTCAGAAGCCTTAAACAGGCAAAGTGAAGCAAGCAATATATTGCCATTCCTCAGTACTTAAGGAGAGAACTTAGAAGTCCTGTAAAATCAACTTTTCTGCATCACTCCAAGGAGATATAGTAGTGATTATAGAAAAAAATAGTTTTATAAATACAAATACATAGTTTAAGTCATTTCTTCTAAAGTCTTGGAAATTATATGCTAGATGAGATGGCTGAAAATTATATGAAATTGTGGAGTTACCTGTTTTTACATGACCAGTAACCAAGCATGATTTTTTGACAGAAGGTTCACAGGCCTATGCCAAAATATGATTAAATTGCTCAATTAAGTAAGAAGAGATGACAAACTAGAACAGCTGTAGGCCAAGGATTGGTCCACATGAACTGTGCGCACAGTATGGATTCAGAGTATGGAAGTGTCCATCTAGGGAAAGTAATAATGAAAATGGTCACTGAAAGAATGGCCATTTTTGTTCTGCCACTTTTGTAATAGCCTAATATTTTTTAGTAGCACTCAAAATGCTAAGGTTTTGGGAAAGGCAACTTTGGATTTGGAGAGTGGTTAATTTTACACGAAATAATCTTGTTTGTTGAATTTCTTATGCTATTAAGCCACATAGCTATAAAGCAAAAATAAATTTTAGTATATTGTCTCTTCAAGCTATGCTTCTCAATGAAGGGTGTATAGCAAATCATCTGTAGAAATTTAGAAAAAATACAGAGTTCTGGGTTCTACTTCATAGAACCCAAATGCCCTGGGGTGAGGCTCGGCAACTGTGTGCCAGGAGCATTGCTCAGGTGATTCTGATGCCTGTTGCTGACTTGTAGTTGCTACAGAAAGAGAACCCACTTAACTTCAGGTCTAGACAAATGGAAAATGTGGAGAAGAAAATAGAGGATAAGTAACTGTGTCAGTTAAACACACTTCTGAGATTTACAGCTCCTTATTCACAATTCTGAAATCTTGAAAACGTTGAAAGCCAAAAAAGAAAAAAATAAGGCTTCATGAAACCTGCCCAGCCCTCATCCAGTTTCTGGCACAACCATATCTGAACTGACATGAGGCTTTTCATGATCTGTATTTATCCCAACAAGTGTGAAGAGATATGTGTTTTGTTACCGAAGCATGAATGTATTTCTTATGGAAGTTTTACTTGATAAACTGTATATGTGCACTCTCTCTCTATATATAGAGAGAGATACATACATACATATATATATAAAGTATATATGTAATATATATACTAGTAATATATATACTATATATAGTAGTCTATGCTAATATATATTATATATATATATTAGTCTATTCTCACACTGCTAATAAAGACATACCTGAGACTGGGTAATTTATAAAGAAAGAGGTTTAATTAACTCACAACTCAGCGTGACTAGGGAGGCCTCAGGAAACTTACAATCATGGTGGAAGGGGAAGCAAACACATCCTTCTTCACGTGATGGCAGGAAGAAGAAGAATGAGTGCCCAGCAGAGGGGGAAGCCTCTTATAAAATCCATCAGATCTCTTGAGAATTAACTCACTATCACGAGAGCAGGATGGGAGAAACCACTCCTATGATTCAATTATCTCTAACTGGTCCCTCCCATGGCATGTAGGGATTATAGGAACTACAATTCAAGATAAAATTTGGGTAGGGTCACAGCCAAACCATGTCTATCTATCTATCTGTCTGTCTGTCTGTCTGTCTGTCTGTCTATCTATGTATCAATCATTTATCTATCTATAAACTATATACATATAGCTGTATATATACCATTTTCTCTTCTAGAATCTAAAGAATTTTAGATCTTAAAGGGTATCTGGTCTCAATAAGTTTTGAATAAGACATGGTAGAGTTGTAGTAATGGCTTCAGTTGACATTTTGTTCTGTCCTACTCAGATGATTTGAATATATTTTACTGATTCTAAATTTTTTGAGGGCAGAAACTCTGTATGCTCACCTTATATAATAATGACCATACATATTGGGTCATTTAAAATAGTACCTCATCCAGGTCTCACAACAATCATGTCACGAATGCAGGGCTCACTGTTCCAAGGATGCGAGTCAATGAGCTATCACAATGCTTAGTGGAGGGGCACAGAATTAATAATCCATGAGTATTTAGTAAACTGAATATTGTTTTAAATTGAATTGAACTACTACATTTTTTTCTATAAGTAATAGAATACATTCAATGTGTGCTGGTCAAAAAAACCTTAAATGGGAAAATATTTAATAAATACTTTTATAAAATATATAGACATTTTGTAAATCCTATGAGCAAATGTAAAAGGTCAAGGGATACAAATTTTATTGATGTATGTAAGACCAGAGTCAGCTTTAAGCATTAAATTTAATGTATAAGGGTAGGATTGGTACTAATCACACTTATTTTGATAAACACTTATTTTTATAAGCTTCCCTCTAGTGATATATACTCAATCTTAGAGGAGTATACCAGTAATGTGGGAAGTGGGTTTGGGATAAAGGGTGCAGGGTGGTCAAATGTCACCCTCACTCCTTCTCCATCAGTGAGGTCTTCAGCAGCTGAGCCAGTGGTCCACTCCCAGAACCCGAGGTCCTCTGCACGTGAGGCTTAGACATGTGATTCCTGTTCTGATTGCACTGCCTTTCAGGACCTACTGGATGCTTACTGTTTTTGGTGTTTTCATAAGGAGATTACCATTTTCCAAATGCTAGTATAAGCGAAGGGAGAAGACCAAATAAAATGGACTAATTTGGCTGCAGTGCTAAATTGTTCTGTGCAAATCATGAAACTTCTCTGTGCCTGCTTCACCATTTGTGAAATAAAGATTGTCAAACTGGGGTGACACTGAATGGTGATGAGTACAAATGAACTGAAGTTTCCAAGAGTCCTTTGAAAGTTATTGTATATTTAATATAGGTGAAGTATTGGTTGAATGCACTGAATAAATAAAATGTTTTTACAAAAAATCTGAAAATATAAAATAATTAGTTTGAAAAAATATTACTTCATTAAATATTGTTAACATTAGTGAAATACACACAGAATCCATTTGCTAAGAGCTTGGACTTTGGGATCAGGCATGATTGTATTTAATCTGCATCCTGGCTCTGCTGTACTGTGACACTGAACCAGCTATCAAGCCTCTCCAAGCTGTCTGGTTATATTTTCCTGTTCTATAAAATTGGGAACATAGTAATGCCTGGATCATGGAAAAATATGTTAATTAGTTGTCAATAAATATATTGTAGGTCCTAAAAGGTACAAAGTGAAAACTTGGTTAGCCTTTCCCTTCTTCAGAGAAATAAAGGTAGAATTGAGGTATGTGTTGGGAGGGGAGACACTTCTCAAGTATAACCAGACTTAGAATCTGTAGGGTTTATTTGGCTGTGCACCTTTGAAAATCATTAAATATCTGTATTCTTTCTATAATTAATTATTTCTGGACTTTAAGAATATCTTTCTAGGACTAATGATGAAAACTTGAATTCTCTGTTAAAACATCTTGTGTTCTACAGTGCTAAAATGAGGGTGAGAGAAAGAGTATGGACAAATTGAACTGTTCCTAAGAATACAGTGGACAAGATAACCAGGAAAAAGCAACAGCAACAATTTCCCAATACAAAACACTTTGGCTATATAATTTTTTAAAATAAAACAGACGGATAAGTAAAACAGCAATCTTTTCAAAACCATGGTCTTTTGTACAAAAGTAAAGGATATCTTTAGAGACCAAAAATAAAGTGTGACTCAAACCCAGACAGGTAATGAGTAGGACTGTGACTGGCTTGAGGGCATCTGCCAATGCTAATGACTTAGAGCACTTGTTTTTTCACTCATGTGAAACAAAACCCAAGGGCTCAGACAAAGCCTGTTGTCAAATCAGAAGCAACTGATATAAGGCCAGGAACCTTGAATAGCTACACTCTCACTGAAAAAGCAAAAAACTACCTTAAATAAAAAAGGTGCTTTGGAAACTTGGTTGTCTTGTCAGAGATCCTAGAGAGAGGAAAACATAAAGTATCCCCTGAGAATTCATAATATTCTGTTCCTCAAGTGAGTTGATGGCCCAAAGTCTCACTACCTGTAGGCTTAAAAAACTCCACATAAAAATTTATTTTGGAGAGATCCCAGGTTGGAAGTTTCCTTAGTCCCTTCACAGAACGAAGCAAAAATTCTCTCTGAGGGAACACACTAACAAATCAGTCCTTAAAATATCTCCACAAATAAATTACTGATAAACATGACTGCATAATCAAAAATTACAAAACACAGAAACAAGTGTCATGAGAAACAGCAGTAAATACAACTAGCAGAATCAGACCCACAAAGATTTTAATTATTAGAATTATCTATATAGAACATAAAGTAATATATGCAAATAAATAAAGAGGAAATTGAAAATATGGGTGAGGAATGAAAGACTGAACCATTTGAAAATGACCCAAACAGCACTTTTAGGAATACAAATTTTAAATGATTGAAATGAAAAGTTCAGTTGTGGGTTAAAGAGCATGTCAGAAAAAGATAGAGAATATGTTTAATATGTTTTTAAATGTAAGCAAACATTTATCATATTAAACAGCTACCATAGTGATTTCTTTCGGAAAAAGCTTAAGCAAGTGTTAATAAAAGTCAAATGGAACTGAAATTCTGGAAAAATTTCCATAATATTTGGGAAGGAGGGTTAAATAATCACAAATTTTTCAAATTGGTGGCAGTAGAATGGTGATATTGATTAGTTCCGTTTTGCTAATTTAAGTATGCAGAGTGAAATTTTTAGGACAACTTCCTAGTGAATAGAAATCCAAACCAATATAGAAGAAAGGAAGAAATGAAATGAAAATAAAATCTCAGGGCTGGGTGTGGTATAATCCCAGCACTTAATCCACTTAATCCCAGCCTGTAATCCCAGCATTTTGGGAGGCTGAGGCAGGCAGATTGCTTGAGCTCAGGAGTTCGAGAACAGCCTGGGCAACATGAGGAAACCCTGTCTCTACAAAAGATACAAATATTATTCGGGCATGGTGGCATGGCACACACCTGTAGTCCCAGCTACTTGGGAGGCTGAGGCAGGAGGGTCACTTGAGCCCAGGAGGCCGAGGTTGCAGTGAGCCCGGATTGAGCCACTGCATCCAGCCTGGGTGACAGAGGAAGACCCTGTCAAAAATAAAATCTCAATTAATCTGAAAGAAAGCACAAAGAAAAGTTTGAGCACAGGAGCATATAAAATGAAGTGGTAGAAAAAATTATGTTAGTAAGCACAATTAATGTAATTTTTCTGTTAAAGAGCAAAGATTAGCAGGCTAGCTTAAAACATTTCCATCTATATGCTGTGCATTAGTTTTCTACTGCTGCATAACAAGTTACCATAAACTTAACAGCATTAAACAAGACACATTTGATAGCTCACTCTTCTGTAGGTCAAGTCTATGTGGGCTCCACTGGGTTCTCTACTTAGGTTCTCATAAATCTGAAATCAATTATTGGCCAGACTTGGCTCTTTCCTGGAGGAGCCAGGAAAAACCTGATTCCCAGCTCATTCAGCTTGTTGGCAGAATTCAGTTCCTTTTGCTTGTAGGGCTGAGGTCCCTGTTTCCTTTCTGGAAATGGCCCTGGCCACCTTAGGTCTTTTCAAATTGTCTATTCCATGTCAGCAAAGGAGAGCATCCCTGCATTGAATCCCTCTCTAGCTTCCAATATCGCTGACTTCTACTGCTTTTTAAAGGACTCATATGAGTAAATTAGTACCACCCAATAATCTTTCTTTTGCTGCTCATCATAGTCACAGGTTCCACCCAGAACTAAAGGAAAGAGGATTACACAAGAGCAAGAGCCATAGGAGGTCATTCTCGGAATTCCATCTCACATATACTGTTCTCAGAGTCATGTTTAAAACGTAAAGTAATAATGCCTGGAAAACATATACCAGGAAAATACAACCTAAAACAAAGTTGATATAGTTATATTGCTGTCTAGCAAAATAGACTTTTGACAGGAAACAAAGCATTTTTAGGATTAAAGAAAGATACTACCTAATGAACATGTAACAATTTTAAACTTGTATGTACCATATAACATACTTTCAAAATTTATAAAGAATAAATTAGGCTGGATATGGTAGCTCATGCCTGTAATCTCAACTACCAGGGAGGCCAAGGCAGAAGGATCACTTGAGGCCAGGAGTTTGAGACCAGCATGTGCAACATAGCAAGACCCTGTCTCTAAAATAAATAAATAAATAAATAAATAAATAAATAAATAAATAAATAAATAACTGGGCATGGTGACACATACTTTGTAGTCCAAGCTACTTGGAAGGCTTAGGCAGAAGGATTGCTTGAGCCCAGGAATTCGAGGCTGCAGTGAGCTATGATTTGTGCCACTGCACTCCAGCCTGGGCAACAGAGCAAAACTATGCCTCTTTAAAAGAAAAAATAAAAGAAAGAATAAGTTGACAGAATATGCTAATTGTTAAATCCACCATCATAGTGCTTATGGTGGAAAAGAAAAAGCACTGAAGATGTAAGCATTAAGCATTAAGAATTTAGAAAAACAAAAGAACAGGTAAATCAGTCAAAAATATATTAGGAAGCAAATAAAGATATGAGCAGAATTAATAAAAATAAAGGTACTATATAGAGGATCGAAATATACAAAATTTGTTATCTGAAAGGCTAATAAAACTAACAAATATAAGATTAATCCAGATTAAAAGAGTACAAATAAACCATGTGAAAAAAATAAACTATCAACAGATGCAGCAGAGATCAAAGATGTAACCATATGCTTCAATACAGAAAAATATCAGAAAAGTAAAATGAAAATATCTTGGATATGTAATTACATCGGATATATTAACAAAACAACAGAAAATGAAACGGTTTGACTAAAACACTTTTACTTGATGTAATCTTAAAAATATGTCCTAAAGCTGATATTTCACTTATATCTTAAATAAAAATATTTGGCTTTATTTTTAGACACTGAATGCTAAGTAGGATTTCTTTTTACAAAGGTACACATTTAGGTCGTTGCTTTTAAATTTCTAAGTTTTCTATTATGAATATCACTGAAACACTCATTCCATAACATTATAATTATATCTGCTTTCAAGCAACAATAAAATATAGAAGCAGTGCTTACTCAAACTTACAAACCATGTTACTGGCTAGTTCCCTTACTTCTTAATCTTTCAAATTCTGAAAATGGTTATGGTTATGTCAGATGGTTGAGTTACCAGTCTTTTCTTGGACTTGCCATTTCCTAACGTTAGAAACAAACATCAAGCCTATAGTTATCTTCCGCACATTAGCCTACAGATTTGGGTTTGTCACCCAATAGAGCTGGCTGAACCATTTTGATAAGTGGTATTATGCAAACAAAATGGCAGGCTACCTAGTGGTGCAGGACCTGGGAGACTGAGCTAACTCTTTTGGCTCCATCATTAGGGATAGCATGTAGTAGGCATTTCATTTAGAAAACTGGAATGCTGAGGATCTTTAAGATGAGATTTATTTTCCCTTTGAGAAAATATTTGCTTTTTTGTGTGTTCCAAGGGCTCCTTTGTGGATAATATTTTTTATGATCACATTTCTGAACACATCCTTTATTTTTCTTTCTATTAGCTCTCCATCCCTGTATACATTTTCAGAGCCGTTATATTATGGTATATCGTACATAATTACTTTCTCTAGTAATGATCAGTTATCCATGTTAACAAAGCAGAGACGGTATGCATCCTGAAAGCTACTCATTCTTTCAGGCAAAAATAAATGCTCAATCATATAATATTGGGCTAATATAGTTTGATAATTTAGCCACCCATAAGGAATGGCATGCTAGAAGATGGTGTAAATATTTTTTTTTCTGCTGGCTTCTTGCTCAGCAAAACCAGTGATCATTCTCATTTTTTCCATTTATTCTAAATTACAATTCAATGTGGTGGAAAGCAAATCGTACTGGGGCACATCATATTTATTTGTATTTGTTAACACACTTTTTGAAACTCTGCAGAACTTGCCTGGAAAGGTACTTTTTGATTGTGTATATTTCTGTATTCAGATGATTCAGGTGTCTTTCTCTAAATGCTTCTTTATTCTGAGACATGCCCAATTTCCTTACTTAATAATAAAACAGTCCATCACTCATTGTAAATCAGTAGGGATCCAGCAATAAGGTGCAATACATCACAAAAGCAGGGCAGGCTATCATTGAGATAATAAGAAGATGCATTAATATTCATGCATTATGAAACCCTGGTTGTGCCTCTAAAAAGCTGTAGAATACATTCCAGGTTTAATGTTCACCAGTAGGTGTTTGCCAGTGATTTTAAGATACTTCTTGTGGCAATTTATTCAAGGCATCACTAGGTGATTTAGGAAACTTTCATCTGCAGTTTCCATTCACTTAACTGTATACTCAGGTAATGTTCCTCAGTGAGTATGCATAATCCTTTCTGGTTAGCCTTTGGGTTGTTCTTTATCTCAGTTGGAAGTGATATTGTGTAAGACGGATCATATATGTATGTCTGTGTATGTGATGTGCTGTGTATGGTTAGAATAGGAAGGGCAGCAGAAGGGTGGTAAAACTACATACATACATCCTATATAGTACAGTATTTACATAGTGTCAAAGACATGAAATTTAGATTTTGTTTCCATCTCAGAGTAATTTAAGCGCGTGCATAAGAAAATAATGCTATGCTACAGTGGATGCAAAATTACCAACAAAGCAGGGCCACCACAGAGGATGCTTGTATTGCCTATTCCATAAGAAAAGTTGGACCTCAAATAATAAATGAGAAAAATTAACCAGAAACTCTTTACCTGTCATGATGATGTTGGGTTTATTACTGTTGTTAACATTCTGTGTACATAGGATGGACACACACCCAAAATTCATTCAGATGTTGGGACCAGTGATGTCTGACTTACCCCAAGAGGGTATAAAAAGATTTATTTCATAAGTAGTGAGGCTTTCTGGGGAGAGCATGGAGGCTCCCAGGCAAATCTGAAAATAACTTGAGCCAGGGCCAAGAAAGGAACCTGGTTTGGAATTTTTATGGTGTACTTGGAGTGAAACCAGGGTGAGGGTTTCCATACATGGTTTAAACTTCCTGCTGGTACCAAAGGAAGGGGCACCATAGTTTTCTTATCAGTTTTCTCAAGTGTCAGGCAGAAAGGGAAGAAGGAGGGGTGAGGCTTAAACGTTGTAAGCAATCAAACATAAAAAAAATGGAGTCATTTTTCATACTACAGTTATGATGATGTTGGGAGAAACTTTGGGAAATATGACTGTAGTGTATTTGGGACTTTATATCAATATGCTTAGAAGCAGAGAAGTAAAATGAACAACTTGAAGAAATACTGGAGCCCTGTTGTTCACCTCACCTCTTCTCCAATTTAAATTCTGACATTTTCTGGCTGGTAACCAGTGTCTCATCACTCCTAGCCAGTGCTCATGTCCTTCATCATGATAAAGAGTCTTTCTTCTTGGCCTGTGTATGTGAAGATGTCTCATTCTGATGTTGGCTTTGGCTATTGGTAAATCAGTATATCCTGAACCATATTCCATGGGCGGTAAAAGTTCTCAAACATTAGATCTGCTTTTACAAATTAAAAGAAATTCAGTATCTTTCCATCCTGTCACTGAATGAACCACCATAGGAAATTTCAAAGCATATGTTAAATTATGGGTTTTCTTAATATTGAAAGCTTGGCATTAATTGGCTATACATACTGAGAAAGTGCCAAATACTTGCTTATAATTTCACCTAAAATATTGTTCCTGATGTGAACCAGTATATGACCACAATATACTGACCAATATATGACCACATTTTCTTCAATGAAATTGAATAAAATATCAACCAAGTCAGGAAAATAATATTTCAGTGATAGGGAAATTCTTCCCTAATTGTCTCAATTGACTTTCTTAGTTGCACAAGGAACTAAAAGAATGTTGGCCATGATGACAGTTATACCAGGATCTTTATTGAAGTATTTAAAAGATAATTAAGGAAATCTATGAAAATCCTATTTCTGGTGGCATATTTTGCTGTAATTTTCATGAGATGGGAGACACTACCAATGTGGGACTATGGTATTACTATTATCTTCAAGAGAAGAGATGAAAAATCTACCTACTAAATGCTGTTAAAGAATACTTAGCAGCCGGGCTT
This sequence comes from Homo sapiens, assembly GCF_000001405.40. NCBI lineage: Eukaryota > Metazoa > Chordata > Mammalia > Primates > Hominidae > Homo > Homo sapiens. The sequence goes on from NC_000012.12 coordinate 44,199,846, forward strand.
GGTGGCTCACGCCTGTAATACCAGCACATTGGGAGGCCGAGGCAGGTGGATCACCTGAGGTCAGGAGTTCAAGACCAGCCTGGTCAACATGGTGAAATCCCATCTCTACTAAAAATACAAAAATCAGCGGGGTGTGGTGGCACACACCTGTAATCCCAGCTACACAGGAGGCTGAGAGAGGAGAATCGGCTTGAACCCTGGAGATGGAGGTTGCAGTGAGCCGAGATCGTGCCACTGCACTCTGGCCTGGGCATTAGAGCGAGACTCCATCTCAAAAAACACACAAACAAACAAACAAACAAAAAACAAAATAGAAACAAAAAAACCCCTTAGCATTCCATTTATGAAACACTTTTCATGTTTCATTTATGTCATAAAGATAGGTAGTCAGATAAACCCAATGTTTAGTTTACCACATATACTGAGTATTAAACAAAATGTTGCTTCAAAATTATCTCTCAAAAGAGCTGAAACGGTTTTATGTTCAAACTCCTACAGAATCTCCTATTACATTTATTTTATTTTGAACAAAGTTGTATTTGGGGAAGACATTAATAGAAAACATTGTTAATTAAAAACTGGCCTTAAATGTTATTTAGGTCATCTGATGGATACTGTTAAAAAAGGAAACAAGCCTCTCATGGAAATACTAATTATTTTGGGTGATATATGCTCAAATTTGCCAAAAATCTGTGTTATTTTAAATGGGCCTCTTAGAAATCGCTTTAAATAACAATTCAGAAATTTTGTTTTAAAATAGAGAAGTTTTGGCAATCAACCAAAAGAACACAGAGAACAGGAATTAAGACTAAGTGACATATCTAACTCTGAATCAGTCTGTAATGGAGGGTTCCCAAATGCAGTGACGGTCAACTATGTTTCAAGACAATGAAAAGAGGAAACATGATGGTTACTGATCAAAGGCAAAGTTGGTAAAGGACAGTTCTTCAACGTAGGTGCCAGACTCTAAAAGCCCTGGCACAATGCGGGTAGAGTGTGCTGGCTGAGTGGGTCCTGCCACCCCTCAGCATGAGCCTCTTGGATACAGAAAGTCTGGAAAAAACTCACATCATTCAGATGTCAATCAGTCCCAAAGGAACTAGCGTGAGAATTTTGTTACCAAGAAGAAAAAAGGAAGAAAATAATAGGAAAATCCAGCAGAAGTTGGAAGAGTCCTCCACCAGAAAATGCTACCAAGGATGAGAGGAAAATGATGACCAAACATATTATATTGAATTTTTTAAAATTAGGGAAGTAATTGCCTTTTAAAATGAGGTTTCAAAGCAATGAGGTTTCAAAGCAATGGCATAAGAATTCAGAGAGGATGATGTGAGACAATAGAAGATGAAACAAGAGATGGTGGACTCAGGGAAGAAACATAGAAGAAAGAAAATTAGATAAATAAAGGTCAAATTGAAATCTCTACAAATATTACTTGACACACGCCAAAATCCTCAGTATAGATCCTAACTCAATGAGCAGAATTGAAAGCTAATAAGGAATGTAGACATAGAGGACAGAGAAAACCAGCATATACATAATTGTTGTCCCTAAAAAATATAACTAAAGTAATGGAAAATAGAAGTCATGGATTAGGATAAGATTCCAAAAAGACTGAACAGAACAAAGGAAAACTTGAATTCTTAGATTGAAAGGGCAAATCATGCCTAGAAAATTGACACAAGTCAGTAAACTTAGCAAAATTATTCTACTCAAACTATAAAAAGTATACTTTATAAAACTAATTTACCTGGAAAGATGGAAAAAAATAATTTCAGGTTCAGTTTTCTCACTTCTTAGCATCAACAATGTTAAGGCAATAAAGGAATGCCTCCAGTTTCTTAAGGAAAAAATGTGACCCAATAATTTTAAACTCAGCCTAATTATTGGCCAAGTGTTTTGAAAATAAGCAATTTGGTTGTAGGCTATATCGTTGTCTTGCCAATTTAGTTTTAGGGTCAAGTTTAAAAGAAATACATAACACCCAATTATAAAGCAGAATGTAGAAATATTCCCAAACCCTAAGAACATAAAAATTAAATATAGTGTAAGAAAGTAAAATATTTTTATTTTCTCATTTTTTATAGATGAGGGGAGAAGATATCATGTGGTATCTTTATATCATGTGATATATCATGTGATATCTTTATATATATCATCTTTATATATCAAGATGATATCTTTTATATATCAAAGATGATAAATAAAATAGGAATATAAGATATTCAAAGAGTTAAATATGTTAATAGGAAAAATAATAAAATAGGGTAGTGAAGGGGAAGAAGACAAAAGGGGAGGAAGCAGAAATAAAATTTTGTTGTTTATGCTCATAGTAGGGAGTAAGTAAAATCTAAATAAATAGAAAATATTAATACATGCCTAAATGAAGTCTAATTATAAAGATAATTAGAACAAAATAGAAACCTTTCATATTTTAGAAGAATGCACATAAAAAGGTATGATGGTTCTTTGATGCCTAGTTTGTTTATTTTTAACGTGAAGCCATGTTGAATTTTATCAAAAGCCATTTCTGCATCTATTAAGATGATCACGTGGTAACTTTTTAATTCTGTTCATGTGATCCAGTAAATGGATCGTATTTATTGATTAGCATATAATGAACCAAACTTGCATCCTAGGAATAAAGCCTACTTGATTGTGGCGGATTAGCTTTTTGATATTCTGCTGGATTTGTTTGCTAGTATTTTGTTGAAGATGTTTGTGTGTATGTTCATCAGGGATACTGGACTACAGTTTTCTTTTTTCATTGTGACTCTTCAAGGTTTTGGTATCACAATGATGCCGGCCTCATAGAATGAGTTACGGAGATATTCCTCTTCCTTGATTTTTGGAATAATTTCAGTAGGATTGGTACTAGCTCTTCTTGCATGTCTGATAGAATTTGGCTGTGAATCCATCTGGTCCAGGACTCCTTTGGAAGTGGTAGCTTTTTTTTTTTTTTAGATGGAGTCTTACTGTGTCACCCAGGCTAGAGTGCAGTGTCACCACCTCTGCTCACTGCAGCCTCTGCCTCCAGGGTTCAAGCAATTCTCCTGCCTCAGCCTCCTGAGTAACTGGGATTGCAGGTGTGTACCACCACGCCTGGATTTTTTTCTTTTTCATATTTTTAGTAGAGACAGGGTTTTGGTATGTTGGCTACGCTTGTCTCAAACTTTTGACCTCAGGTGATCTGACCATCTTGGCCTCCCAAAATGCTGGGATTACAGGGGTGAGCCACCACACATGGCCTTTGTTGTTGTTGTTGTTGTTGTTGTTACTGATTCAATGTTGAAATTTGTTTCGGTCTTCTCAGGATTTCAGTTTCTTCCCGGTTCAATCTTGGGAAGTTATATGTTACCAGGAATTTATCCATTTCTTCAAGTGTTTCTAATTTTTATCCATAGAAATGCTTACAGCAGTCTGTGAGGTTCTTCTGTATTTCTGTGGGGTCAGTGATAATGTCCCTTTTGTCATTTCTAATTGTGTTGATTTAAATCTCTCTTTTTAACTTAATCTGGGTAGCACTCTATCAATCTTGTTTACTCTCTTGAAGAACCAACTTTTTGTTTCGTTCATCTTCTGTATGGATTTTCGTGTCTCAAATTTGTTCATTTCAGCTCTGGTTTTGGTTACTCATTTCTCCTGCTAGCTTTGGGGTTGGTTTGCTCTTGTTTTTCTAGTCCTCTAGGTATGATGTTAGGTTGTTAATCTGAGATCCTTTTAACTTGATGTAGGTGATTAGCACTATGAAATTTCCAGTTAACACTGCCTTAGCTTTGTCCTAGAGATTCTGGTATGCTCTTTCTTTGTCTTCATTTGTTTCATAGAACTTTTTATTTGTGCCTTAATTTCACTCTGTACCCAAATGTCATTCAGGAGCAGATTGTTTAAGTTTCATTTAATTGTATGGTTTTGATACATCTTCTTGATATTGATTTCTATTTGTATAATGTTGTGGTTTGAGAGTGTAGTTGGTATGATTTTTCTTTTTTTGAATTTGTTGAGAATAGCTTTATGGCCAAGCATATGGTTGATATTAGAGTATGTGTCATGTGCAGCTGAGAATAATGTATATTCTGTAATAAGAGCCATCTATGGCAAACCCACAGCTAACTTCATGCTTAAGGGGCAAAATATGGATGCATTTCCCCTGAGAACCGGAACAAGACAAGGATACCCACTCTCATGACTACTATTCAAAATAGTGCTGGAATTTGCTGGAATTCGCTGGAATTCCTAGCCAAAGCAATCAGGGAAGAGAAAGAAATAAATAGGAAGAGAGGAAGCCAAATTCTCTCTCTTCTCAGACAATATGATTCTATACTTAGAAAACCCTAAAAGGCTCCTAAACTGATAAACAATTTCTGTAAAGTTTCAGGATACAAAATCAGTGTACAAAAATCAGCAGCATTTCTGTATGTCAATAATGTCCAAGCTGAGAGCCAAATTGAGAACACAATCTCATTCACAATAGCCTCAAAAAGAAAAAAATACATAGGAATACAGCTAACCAGGCAGGTGGAAGATGTATCTACAATGAGAATTAGAAAACACTTTTGAAAGAAATCAGAGATGACACAAATGAATAGATAAACATTCTATGTTCATGAATAGGAAGAATCAATATTATTAAAATTGCTGTATTTTCTGCAGCAATTTACAGATTCAGTGCTATTTCTACCATTTTTCACAGAATTACCCATAGTCTATTCTAAAATTCGTATGGAACAGTAAAAGAGCCCAAATAGCCAAAGCAATCCTAAGCAAACAGCACAAAATCAGAGGCATCACACTACCTGACTTCAAACTACACTACAAATCTACTGTAACCAAAACAGCATATTGGTACAAAAACAAATACAGAGACCAGTGGAACAGGTTAGAGAACCCAGAAATAAAACCATACACCTACAACCATCTGATCTTCAACAAAGTTGATAATAACAAGCAATGGGGAGGGGACTCCCTATTCAATAAATCGTGCTGGGATAACTGGCTAGCCATATGCAGAAGAATGGAACCGGCCCCTTCCTTTCACCATATACAAAAATCAACTCAAGATGGATTAAAGACTTAAATATAAGATCTAAAACTATAAAAACCCTAGAAGAAAATATAGGAAACACCATTCTGAACATAGGCATTGACAAAAATTTTATGACGAAGTTCCCGTAAGCAATTGCAACCAAAACAAAAATGGACATGTGGGACATAAACTAAAGAGCTTCTGCCCAGCAAAATAAACTATCAATGGAGTAAATGAACAACCTACATGATATGGTTTTGCTGTGTGCCCACCCAAATTTCACCTTGAATTGTAATAACCCTCACATGTCAAGGGAGGTGCCAGTGGAGATAATTAATCATGGGGGCAGTTTCCCCCATACTGTTCTTGTGGTAGTGAATAAGACTCACGAGACCTGATGGTTTTATAAATGGGAGTTCCCCTGTACAAGCTCTCTTGTTTGTTGCTATGTAAGTCATACTTTTGCTTCTCCTTTGCCTTCTGCCATGATTGTGAGACCTTCCCAGCCATGTGGAACTGTGAGTCCATTAAACCTCTTCCTTTATAAATTACCCAGTCTTGGGTATGTCTTTATTAGCAGTGTGAGAACAGATGAATACACTACAGAATAGGATAAAATACTTGCAAAATATCCATCTGACAAAGGTCTGGTAGCCAGAATTTATAGGGAACTTAAATAAATCAACAAGCAAGAAAACAAATATATAATCTCATTAAAAAATGGGCAAAGGACATGAACAGACACTTATCAAAGGAAGACATACACATGGCCAACAAGCATATGAAGAAAAAAGCTCAACATCACTAATCATTAGAGAAATGCAAATCAAACCACAATAAGATACCATCTCACACTAGTTAGAATGGCTATTAAAAAGAAAAAAAATGACAGATGCCAGCTGGGCTGCAGAGAAAAATGAATGCCTATATGCTGCTGGTGGGAATGTAAATGAGTTCAGCCACTGTGAGAAGCAGTTTGGAGATTTCACAAAGAACTTAAAATAGAACTAATATTTGACCTTCCAATCCCATTACTGGGCATATGCCGAGACCAGCTCTGTCGTGGAGACCCTAACCCAGAGAAGCTGAAGGAATTAAGACAAAGACACAGAAATGGAGTGCAAAGTGGGAATCAGGGGGCTGACAGCCTTCAGAGCTGAGAGCCATGAACAAAGTTTGACCCACATATTTATTGACAGCAAGCCAATGGTAAGCATTATTTCTTTTAATTTTATTTTATTTTATTATTTTTTTATTATACTTTAAGTTCTAGGGTACATGTGCACAACGTTAGATTAGCTAAAAGCATTCCTTATGGGAAACAAAGGGACAGGCTCTGCCTTGTTATCTGCAGCAGGAACATGTCCTTAAGACACAGCTCGCTCATGCTATTGTTTGTGGTTTAGGAATGCCTTGAGCAGTTTTCTGCCCTGGGTGGGCCAGGTTTTCCTTGCCGTCATTCCGGTAAACCAACAACCTCCAGCGTGGGCATCATAACCATCATGAGCATGTCACAGTGCTGCAGAGATCTTGTTTATGGCCAGTTTCTCATGGCCTGTTTATGGCCAGATTTGGGGGCCTGTTCCCAGCAGGCATATGCCTAAAGGATATAAATTGTTGTACCATAAAGACAAATGCACATGGATGTTTATTGCAGCACTATTCACAATAGCAAGATGTGGAATCAACCTAAATGCCTATCAGTGGTGGACTGGATAAAGAAAATGTAATACATAAATACCATCAAGTACTATGCAGCCATAAAAAATAATGAAATCATGTCCTTTGCAGCAACATGGATGCAGCTAGAGACTATTATCCTAAGCAAATTAATAAAGGAACAGAAAACCAAATACTGCATATTCTAACTTATAAGTGGCATCTAAACATTGAATATATGGAGGCACAATGATGGGAACAACAGACACAAGGGCCTACTTGAGTGGGGAGGGTGAGAGGAGGGTGAGGACCAAAAACTTCCACCTATCGGATACTATGCTCACTACCTGAGTGATGAAATCACTTGTACAGCAAACCCCAGTGACACACAATCTACCCATGCAACAAACCTGCACATGTACTCCCTGAACTGAAAAGTCAAAAAAATTTTTAAAAAGGTATGATGGACAATTAAAGCAAGAAGAAACTATCTAAACAGCTTTATATGTGCTAATATTGAATGAAGTCAGTATATTGTTAAGTAGAAATAAATAAAATGACAAACTATCAAATAAAATTTTATCTATTATGTTCATTAATATCCTTTATGTATATGCTTGTTTATTGATAGAATAACATTTGTTTATCTTAAATGATACTCCACCAATTAGTGGCTACCTCAAGAGTGACACTACATAGCCATAGTTATTTTTCTATTTTGGTCTTGTATCCCTAATAAATCAATATTTTACATGAATATCACATGCTTAGCATACAACTATATCAAATATGACTTTAGATACAGTATATGTAGTACCTGCGTGGGAATTAGCTTGTAATCAGGCTAAGAAGATAAGAATGGCAAAAGTAGAGAATCATACAGAATGTCAATTAATACTCAGTTTTGTCACACAAATATTTTATGAAGCCCTCTTAGACGACTGCAGCCTTCAGTGACCTCCTTCCTCTGATTTTTAATAGCAATTATAGACTGTATCATAGTTCAACATTAAATTATGTCTTTATCATTTTCTAATAGTTCAGTATATGATAGTCTTGTCTTTATAGAAAAGATTGATTGTCAAATCCTTTGACTCTAAATTCATTTGTGTGTTGTATTACTGATGTGAAGCAAAGTGATGGGATAGAAATCTCAGATACGAACAACAACACACCAATAATTATTATACCACCTGCTAATATACATATTTTGTGCTCATAGGTGATTAATAAGAAAACAAGGTGCAGAGAGGTTAATTACCTTGCCCTAAATAAAAAAAAAAAACCTACTAAGAAATATATTTAGGGTTAGAACCCAGGCAGGCTGGCTCTGGAAATAGTGCACATAATGGTATAGATGTGTGACCTTGCTCTGTTATTTAACTTCATTGACTTCTCTTCCTCCATTGCTGAAAGGTGGAAAATAATGACTTACTTTACAAAGTTGCTGTGACTCTTAATAAGAAAAATCCATTAAGAGCTTTGTAATCCATGAAGCTGTATAGCAAATGTGAAGTATAACTCTCATCATTGCTATTTTCATGCTGTTGTTGCCTGGCATCATATAGGCTCACCTCAAAGGAAAGCAAAGATTTCACTTAGATTTCTGTAGAGATAATTGTTTTTTACAATCATTTACTGACTTTTAAACCTCAAAATGCATGTTTTTGCTCAGATTGTACAATATGTATTCTAAAATAAGTTATATTCTATTGAAAAAGATTATCTGACAAGCCATGATGCGGTGAGTGCCATAATGAGGTTCTGAGTTCTGTACAGAGACCTAGTAGAGAGGAAAGGGGAAGGGAAGGATTCTGAGACTCAAAGAGTTATGCACATTTCTCCCAGCATAGAAAGATTTGCAATTTCAAATTCTAATACCTGCCTGTGAGAGAGGTATTCACAGGTTTTGTGTATTTATGCTACACAGAAACCTCATGGCATTGTCTTTAGTCTCCCTTTCTGGCATCTTTTCCCACAAAGACTGTCCTTGACCAACACCAGAAATGAATTTGATTTCTCTAATGCAGGAGATAATTGGATTTTTCTTTATGGAATGCATACCTTTAATGACTGTCTCTGCTTCTGCCAATTTAGCTACAAGTGACCTGACATTGATCTGATAATATGACTTAAAAAATAAAGAGTTCGAGCTGGAGGTGGCAAAGATCAGCTGCCTGGCATCAGAAAGAATGTTTTTTTTTTTTTTTTTTTTTTTGCTTCATCTAACCATTTTCCTGAGAAAATGCTTTATCCTTGAATGTCATTTTTACACAACATGCAGCTGTAGTAATTGGTCATACAGCAGCAGATTGTCTCCTTCTAGAAAATATAATAAGTATTTCCCAGAAAGTGCCCTGGAGAAAACATTGAAAATTGAATAAAACCCACCCAGTAATCATTCTGTTCCTTGGAAATATTTATTACCATGTTGATTCTTTCTGGAACAGGATAAATATTGCCTAAGAGAATTAATTAAATCTTTTAAAAGTCTAATGCAACAAGAAATATTTATTTACCTATTTATTCATGTAACCTTTAGGTTTTGTTAAAATATTTGACACTAGACCTGTTATTAAAGAAGGTTATAAAGGAACAGTGGCTGAAATTGTTGTATTTGGAAAAAACAGCAATTTCTTCCTCTAGAGAAGTTACGATATAAAGCTCTTTTTATACCTAAGAGTATGTGAGATTTAAATTTCTCTATTTTCAACTTTATTCTTTTTTTCCAGTAACAATGTAATTCACTTGATTCATGGTTAATTTTTATTCTATCATCTTCCCCTTACTCCTTTTGATAAGTATCATGAATCATTTTGATGGAAAATACAATCCATGGGCATTAGTTTGAGTGAGAAAATATAATCCTGTAATTTAAAAGGATCAAGAAGAAAATAAACAGTTGAAAAAATCATCGATGAACTAGTTTCTCTTTAAAAATAAGCAAAAAGTGTTTTCCTTTTTGAATTCTTAATATTAGTTGCATTCACATTTATATAGTGATTGACAGTTTAAAGAGAAATGAACTGAAAGTTTATATTAAAACCATGCATGATTGTTGAATCTTTTTTGATTCAACAATGAAGCCACAAATTATTGTAGGCCCTATGTTAGATAGAGCCTACATAAATCTGTAGTGTTACTCAGTGAAGGGGAATGGACTAACTTTGGTTTTCATCAACCAAGAGAATCTTGGGAACTCTATTCCTAGAAATGACATTGAGAAATAATATGAAGAATTAAAATCAGATCTTTCCTGAAAACTGGAATCCTTATCCACCATTCTGATTGTGTCACCTAAGTGAGCATGTGAAGCATTGACATGCCGGTGAATGTTTCCAGAGACCATTTTGGATGACCCTGCTTGAGAATTGATGTGCCTTCCACAGGAAGTCCGGTATTATTGAAGGGGTCACTGATCTAAAAGGACTCCCCACTGAATCACAATCTTTCATCATAAATGATTAAATTTCACCCATTTCAAGGCCACTGTTCAAAGCTATACTCAAATGCAATGATAAAGCTTTAAGCACAAGAGAAAAATTTATTTTAGTGGATGACGAAAATTCTCTCTTACTCAATGCAGTAAACCTCATTTCGTTTCTGTTTTCATAATTTTGAATCTGTCTTGTCTGGATTTGAACATTATTAATTAAAATCATAAGTAATGGAATGGTGTTCTCTTCTCTTGAAGGGAAGGCAGATTTTCTGGGAGTGGAAAAAATGTGCATGTGTATAACATACACACACATTTATGTAACACTTTTTTAAAGGAAATTTATTCTCCATCCTCATTGGATTTTTAAAATACCTTTCTAATAGATTAACTATTTATAATACTTTGGGCTTCTGCTGAAACCATTAATATGTGATGTGGTAGATGAGAAATGTACTTTGTTAATGGATCTTTAAAAACAGGCATTTATATCTTAATTTATTTTATCATTTCTTCTTGAACAAATATTTTGGTCTAGTATATAAAAATCCCTTTGACATTCTTAGAAGAGGTAGAAAGATCTTCACTGGCAAGGATTTCAAAGCCTAGTGAAGAGAGAAAAAAGCATATAAGTAAGTAAAAGAGAAGGTAGAAGGTGATACATGACATGAGAAGGATGGGTCAAGAACCACAAGTTTTCTATAAGTGGGAGAGAACAGTGAAGACATCACAATAGTAATATGACTTAGGCCTCGGAAGATGGGCAGAATCTGTGCAGGTGAGGAAAAGAGGAAGAACATTTTTAGATGAAGGCACAGAATTGTGGGTGAGAGAATGCTAGCTAATTAGAATAAATATGCTGTAGAACTGGGTACGAGTACTTTACCACACATATAGCTGGAAGAAGTAAGGAAGAGGAAAAGAGAAGATAATATTTTGATTAATGATATCGCTAAAAATCTAGACATCAGGGAATGCTTGAGTTTTGGATTTAGACAAACTTTAAAAGAATATAGTATTTTATTTGTTACATATGCTTTGTTTCTATGGTACTGTCTTATATCCGGTAATCTTAATATTTAAAAAATTCTTAATATCTGACATGTTGAATGACTTTAAATGTGCTCATTCTGTATGTACAGTCGAAGAAACTATTAAAGTTTTTAATTGAATGAAGTATATCCTAATTTTTGTTTCTGCATATGTTATAATGTTAAAACGTATACTTATTCTGTTCTCAATAGAATGTAAATTATAGGCTTATAGTTAAATCTGATTTTAAGATTTCTGAAAGTGCTGAATAAGTTCCTTTCATTGCTTCAGGTCACTGATATGATGCTTCAGGACAAACCCTATCCTGACTGGGGAAAATCAGCAAGAGCTTTCTGGAAGAAAGGAAATGTTAGGATCACTTTATTCTGGTAGGAAATTGTTTCACTTATTTATTTCTGCCTTGCCTCATTCACTGAAGGACTTTAGTTGGATGTAATTTTCCTTACAATTATAGAATTCTATCTAGAGGGACATTTTTGGTAGCTACTATGCTCCATTAAAACCATTATCCTAATTATTTTATGAATTAATTTCTTCTTACATATTGTGTATATTCACATTTATAAAACAGAAGTTTTGCTAATATAGTGATAGAATTAAGATTTGACCAGAGGTAAGTTCTTGACTCAGCAAAAACAAGCTGTAATTTTCATCAGTAAAATCTGATAGATGAAACTGTCTCCTATAAATACTAAATTGCCTAGTATATTTGACAGGATATGATTTTGCTCTGAGAAGTGATAAAGAAAAGGAACCTCTTTATAAATCACATCTTCTACATTGGCATTTCTTCTTTATGTAGTTTCGTTTAGCTCTCCAGCCCAATCTTTGCAATTAAAAAACAATCCATGTCTTATGGAACTTTGTTTTTTGTGAAGTCACCATTATTTATGTGTACGTGAACAAGTTCAAACAGAAAAGATAGGAATGGAGAGGCAGCAAGAAGGGCACTTTCACGTGGCTGTGGGACACTCCCCAAGCACAATGATTCTGTGTGATATAATATACAGTTGAATAATTATATAATCCCAAGAAAAGTTATGTAAACTAACACTTATAAATGTTCTACAGTATTTCCCCCTTATCTATGGTTTTGCTTTCCCTGGTTTCAGTTACCCTTGGTCGACTGCAGTCTGAAAATATTAAATGGAATGTTCCAGAAATAAACCATACATACATTTTAAATTGTGTGCTGTTCTGAGTAGTGTGATGAAGCCTCATACCCTCCCGGGAGATCAATCGTCTCTTTGTCTAGCGTCTATCCATGCTGTCGATGCTACCTGCCCTTTAGTTACTTAGTAGCTATCTCACTTATCAGATCTATTGTTAAGGTATTGCAGTGCTGTGTCCAAGTGATCCTTATTTTAGTTAATGATGGCCCCAAAGCACAAGAGTATTGATGCTGGCAATTTGGGTTAAGCCAAAGAGAAGTGATATGGCTTCCTTTAAGTGAAAAGGTGAAAGTTCTCTACTTAATAAGGAAAGAAAAAAGATCATACACTGAGGTTAACATATCGTATGCTGAGAAATATGGTAAGAATGGATCTTCTGTCCCTGCAATTGTAAAGAAGGAAAAATGTTTGTGCATAGGATATATAGGGTTTAATACTATCCAGGACTTCAAGTATCCACTGGGGGTCTTGGAATGTACGCCCACCAGATAAGGGGGACTACTGTAATTGATTATAGCTGGCTCTGATGTATATTATCCTGTATACCTGCCTTTTGAAACAAAAGAGAAAAAAATCTGTTTATTCTTGGATTTAATTCTGGCGGTTGATTTTTTTTTTAATGCAAAAGCTTCAAAAATCATAGTAACTAAGTACTTGAGGAAAATATACACTCTATGTTATCTTTTGTGCTTTAGTACTATCATTAAATGTTGCTGGAGATATAGGACATGTTGAACTCAATTCTTAACAGGTAAACAAAAGTGGATTTTCAATACTGTTATGAAAATGAATATGATTTTTTAGCTGTGTATTCACACCTCATCTTCATGGGTCACATGTGGCCTATGGTACTATTTAACCTCCATCTTTTTTCCTATTTGTAAACTTCCCATATAGCTTTTCTGAATAATATATAATTTAATGATTATAAGAAATATTTATTGATAGTATGTTTTGCTTGAGGCAGCAGGCCAAAGACTTTACATCCTATATCTTTATTTATTTAATCATGACAATCCCATAAGATAGGTGCTATTGTTATAGGCATAGTTCTCTGACTCCAGAGCCCTAGTTTGTAATTATTACACTAGGACTGCCTCTAGGAGAACAAAAGATACATCAGTGTGCAAATTTCCAAATGATTAATGTTCATTCTTGTTTAGGTAGGGTGCTAAAGAAGAACATACAGTTCTTGGGAGCCCTCTTCCCTACAAAATTCCCCACATGGGTTTTAAAAGTCAGAATTTGAAAGGAGGTAAACTAATATCAAATGTGTTTATGGATGGTCTCTCTTAAAACAATATTTATTTACTATGTTTACACATGTTTCTTATTAGTGTACTGATACGGTCTCACTCTATGTCCCCACCCAAATCTCATCTTGAATTGTAGTTCCCATAATCCCCACTTGTCGTGGGAGGGACCCAGTGGGAGGTAATTGAATCATGGGGGCGGTCACCCCCTTGCTGTTCACGTGATAGTGAGGTCTCAAGAGATCTGATGGTTTTATAAGGGGCTTTTCCACGTTTGTTTGGCACTTCTCTCTCCTGCTGCCATGTGAAGAAGGACGTGTTTGCTTCCCCTTCAGCTGTGATTGTAAGTTTTCTGACGCCTTCCCAGCCATGCGGAATGGTGGGTCATTTAAACCTCTTTTCTTTATAAATTACCCGTTCTTGGGTATTTCTTCACAGCAGCATGAGAATGGAGTAATACATGTATCTTCAAAGGTAGCTGATTGATGACTGTTCTCTGCTAGTTACCAAGGTCACATGTATACTATTTGCAAGGGTAAGCCATGTATTCTATAGGCCCCTATGATTGTTGTCATTAGCTGTTCTTAATCATGATTGCTGTTTCAGAGGAGAGAAATCCATTAATATGATTTTTTCTTTGAACATTATCACTCAGGTCTATATATCACCAATGTCTTACAAATTTTTTTTTTAATTTTTTTTTTTTTTTTTTTTTTTTTTAAGACAGAATCTCACTCTGTAGCCCAGGCTGGAGTGCGTGGCACAGTCTCGGCTCACTGCAGCCTCTGCCTCCCAGGTCCTAGTGATTCTCCTGCCTCAGCCTCCAGAGTAGCTGGGATTACAGGCACGTACCACCACGCCCAGCTAGTTTTTTTTGTTGTTGTTTTTTGTTTTTGTATTTTTAGCAGAGACAGGGTTTTGCCATGTTGGCCAGGCTGGTCTCAAACTCCTGACCACAGATGATCCACCCACCTTGGGCTCCCAAAGCGCTGGGATTACAGGTGTGAGCCACCACACCCGGCCTCAAATGGGTTTATTTTTAACATATGTGATAACATAGCCCAGTGGGTATTCTAAAACGTAGTTTAAATGTTGTAAAAATGATAATTTAATTAGTCACTGGCAAGTAGATAATATTCTTAAATAGAGAGCAACTAAAATTCACACTTTTTTGTAGTTATTCTTTCTGTAAAATTATTAATAATTAGGCAATATATTAGAGAGATTGTTTTCACTGTTATATTTCAAAAGTAGTATTTCAAATCATTGCATAAAGTAACTGAAGAACAATTTAAATGCCACTTTAAAATTTTTTTCCATTTTATCCATTTCTATACATTTAGATTATCTTGACAATGGTATTCATGGTTGTAAAAAAGGAAAAGCTGATGGAAAAAGTTGAATATAGAAATTATGTGGGAAGTAAAGAAATCTTCCTTTTTATTCATACTTTTCGCATAAAAGGGATTTAGCAAGTAAAAAGGGCATTTGGGGTTTGGTTTGGTTTTGTTCTTTTAGCCCTAGGAGATAAAATACAAAACTCATTGGCAAGGTTTTAGATTAAATAAAAGACAGTATTTACATACTTTATGTCACCCACTCAAAAATGGGTATTTTCTTTTGATTTTGCTTTAGTTAAGGAAAGAGCGATTAGTGTGAAAAAAAATGTATGGTGGAGAAAAAATTTTGCAAAGGAAATCTTTCTTAAGTTGCAATGTGACTATGCACAGCAGTTTGAGCAGCACAACATGTAATTTTGTTCTAGTAAACATATCTCTTACCTACTTGTAGCTGCTTTAACTCACAAACACCTGTCAGAAACTGAGTTCTTCCTTAATTTTCAGTGATAGGTGTCTCTACGTTGAAGAAAATGGTTCCTATTTCTTTCTGCAGTTGTGCAAAGATGAGGCTGCTGTAGCACCTGGGCTTTCATATTGCAAGGGAGCCTAAATAGTGGCAATATTTGAAAGGCGGAAAGGGAGGAATATGTATAGATCTCTTCCAAAGCCCTTTCCGTAGTCCTTTTGATAATGAAAAAGAGTAAAGATCTAAGAATCTAAATGCTATATGAATGCCTTATGCTCTTCTATTTTTCAGAGGCGTTACCAACAACCATTTTCACTGACTTGTGTCTGAGGTAAAAGAACAGCTACATAAAGAACAAGTAATATGATATTCATGTTAGCTTCTATCCCCCTGATTTGTGTACTCTCTAGAGAAACAATTTGTATGCTTTTGAAGGGAAGAATTTTAGGATGATATTTCCCAAAGCCTTAGCTTTTTTTAAAAAAAAAAAAGACAAAATAGACTTCTATGATTAGTAGAGGAATTGGTGGAAGAAGGGATTGGGAGATCTAGTGCTCATTAGGGCTTCACAAATACTCCAGGTCTTCACCTTCCAGACACGTAAGAGGATTTCACCTTTCTCCCCCCTCTGATTACATGACTTGCCTTGATCAAGGCAAATGTGAATAAAATTGGCATGTGCCATATCTAGGTGGAAATATTTAATATTCAATGAGATGCACTGAAAGGAGCTCCTTTCTTTCTTTCTTTCTTTCTTTTTTTTTTTTTTTTTTTTGAGACGGTTTCTTGCTCTGTCACCCAGGCTGGAGTACAGTGGCCCAATCTTGGCTCACTGCAACTTGTGCCTCCTGGGTGCAAGAGATTCTCCTGCCTCAGACTCCTGAGTAGCTGGGATTACAGGCATGCACCACCACACCCGGCTAATTTTTGTATTTTTAGAAGAGAGGGAGTTTCACCATGTTGGTCAGGCTGGTCTTGAACCCCTGACCTCGCGATCTGCCCGCCTTGGCCTCACAAAATTCTGGGATTACAGGCATGAGCCACCACTCTCAGCCAAAAGGAGCTCTCTTTTCAGTTGCAATTGTGGAAGCCTGTGTCTAGCTGGAGCCCTTGTCATTTGGATTCCCTGAATGACCAGGATAAAACAAGCATCCTTGATAACACTGCAGACTTGTAGTTTGAGTGAGAAATAATCCACTGAGATTTAAGGACTGTTTGATACTGTAGCCTAAAATAACCCATTCTGATGTTTACAAAAAGTCATCCCTAGAAATGGGGCGCTGCCATAACGGAAAGCTGAAATTTGTGTATTAAGGGATGGGCAGCAAATGGCAAGGAAATTGATGCTGGAAACTGGAAAGATGGTAATCTGAGTATTACTGAGTATTATAGTGGCAAGTGTTATAGTATTTGAGTATTATAGTGGCAAAGCAGTTGGTAAAAACTGTGGTCTGTGATGACTTGGAAGCTCCAGGAGAAGTTGGAAAGCAAAATGTTCATAGTGTGTTGCTGTGTGTATCTGTGTACAGCAGTTGTGTACTCTGTTCCATCCTGGAACATAAAATCCTATGGAAATCCATAGGATTAAATTTTATGTTTTCTCTTTTGGATGTGCAATGTTGTATATTTTTTAAAGTACTTTCTCTACCAGTGTAATGGTGTGGATGGGGTATCTCTTAATCATAATTATCTTAATTCTTAACTGGGAAGCAAATGTAGCAGCTGATATTTTTCCTGCTTTGAATATCATAGTTATTAAAGTTTAACAAAAGGAACTTAGTTGTTTACCTCTGACCAGAGAAGAGTTAATCAACAAATGATTATTATCTTAATATACATTAAATATGGTATGGAGAGTAACATAATAATCATAAAAATACAATAAGGTAATAAAAAGACCTAAGAATCAGGGGAAATGTCAGGCAGAAGAGTTTTGGTAATAGTATTAGTAACTAGTAGTTTGACGTCCTCTACAGAGCAACTCATTTGCCATTATTAAGTGAAAGTGAATTATTATTTGTTTTATGAGCCATGGTTCAAAACTAAGGGATGTGGAGAGTGCAGGTGAGGGTTCATCTGAGACAAGTTGAGACCTGTGACAGTCCCCATTGATGAGCAGTCTCTTTCTGGGATTAGGCTGCTACCATTGCCCAGATCCAGCGTGAATTCCCCTCAGCACTGCTGGTTACATAGTGCCAGCTCTTGTTTTCAAAATATCTTTTTTCTTCATTTCCCCTGCTGTCCAGAGCTCCCTTTGTGTGTGCCTTCTTTCTTTAGAATAAGGGATAAATGCATTAAATATATTGACGGTTGAAATGCTTTGATGTTTGTTTTTGCACCAAGGAAGTTTTCTGACAAACTAGAGGTAGAATCTATAGGCAGGTGTCACAGGTCAGATGAGTCAGTCTCTGAATTAGTTCTCACAAAAGTTAAATAAAACCTGATTATAATGGCTGGGCATATGAGTGACTCGTATTCCAGAAACCAAAGAGGAACCAATGTCTCTATGTGTAAGCTGGACAAAGCTTTGCTATTAAGTCAGAGAAAAATACATGCTTACCTTATTTATATATTTGTTCATATTGATATCTTTCAATTGTGTTAGTCCTTCTGGGAATGTAATATGGAACAAGAAACATACACCCTGATGAACAGAGTTGCAACAATTGCTTAAAAATACTAGCAAACCAGGCTGGGGTGCGGTGGCTCATGCCTGTAATCCCAGCACTTTGGGAGGACGAGGTGGGCAGATCTCTTGAGTTCAGGAGTTCGAGACTAGACTGACCAACATGGTGAAACCCCATCTCTACTAAAAATACAAAAATTGGCTGGACGTGGTGGCACATGCCTGTAATCCCATCTACTCAGGAGGCTGAGGCAGGAGAATTGCTTGAACCTGGGAGGCAGAGGTTGCAGTGAGCCGAGATTGCACCACTTCACTCCAGCCTGGGTGACAGAGTAAGGCTCCGTCAAAAAAAACAAAAAACAAAAAACTAGCAAACCAACTTCAACAGCACATTAAAAAGATCATGCACCATGACCAAGTGGGATTTATCTCTGGGATATAAGGGTGATTCAACATCTGTAAATCAATCAATGTAATTATACCACATTAGAGTAACAGAATGAATAAAAACCACAGTTATCCCAATAGTACAGAAAAAGCATTTGACAAAAGTCAACATCTTTTCATGATAAAAACTCTACAAACTTGGTATAGAAGGAATGTACCCTCAACACGATAAAGGTCATACATGAAAAGCCCACAGCTAACATCATACTCAGTGGTAAAACCCGAAAGCTTCTCCTCTGAACATGCCAAGGTTGCTCACTCTCCCCCACTTCTTTTCAACATAGTACTAGAAGTCTTAGAGCAATTAGGCAAGAAAAGGGAAACAAACAAGTCCAAATTGTTGCACCCAGACATAGAAAGACATTTAACCTATCAGACATATGAGACATATTACCTATCAGTCATTACCTCTGTAGTGAAGTCTCCTTATAATCTCCTTATAATTCTATTCTAGGGCAACTATCATTCAGTGCTTCCTGTATTCCTGGTACTGGGCTTTTCACATTCGTTGTTTCCTTTAATCCACACTGCCACTCTTCATGGTAATTATCATTATTAGCTGTATTTTAAAGACAAAAATCTGCTGTTTAAGTTGCATAGCTAGTGAACCTGGGAATCCAGTGTGGGCAGAGCTTGCACAGTACTGCACTGTATGGCGACAGTTATTCTAAGATTTTAAGATATTTAACATATTTAAAAATGATTAATCATATTTTCAACAAATGTATTTACTATAACCCTTTCTTTCTCCTTGCAAATGAATTTGGGTTATGTAAAGGAAGACAAAATATCCAGGAAACCCTTGGAGTTTATCTACTTATGTTCTATTACCCTTTTATTATTGACAAAGAAATTGAAACAAAAATAAGTTACTTGTCTAAGCACAAAATTAATGTTTCTGTGGCAGTGAGCACCCAGGACTACTGATTCCTGGTCTAGCAGACTTTTGACTATTTCACATTAACTCCCTATATTCTTTGTTGTTGTTGTTTGTATGAAAGAGTCAATAAAATTGAAACTAAAAGAATTTGCTGATGATTAGATATATTGAGATAACAACTCTTTTAAGTCAGTAGTAACAATCAGAACATTCTGTGTAGTTTAACTTGATATAATTGTATATCATTTTCTCTCAATTATGGAGGTTAAGCAAGAAAAAGATGTACAGTATATAGTTCAATTTGCCAGTAAAACATGATGTATTACCAGAAACTTCACTTAATTTCACATATAAAAAGCCAGTTGCTGTTATTTTTATTTTGTTTATCTTCAGGGTTTTCAGGGGCTTAATTTCTTTAAAACATATTTGCAAGGTTGAAATTAAATACTATAGTTGATGTCCTAAATGTTGGCTATATTAAGCACAACAAAAGCCCAGCATTTTATTGGGGACACTAGAAGTAATAAGATACTACACATTATAGCTACTCAAATAATAACTGTACTCCTTGGAAAATAATGAGTTCATTGTTCCTGCCAAAAGCATCTACTAGGGAGATAACATTCCAGCATTGGTTGCAAGAACAGTTGGTATCTAAAGTTCTTTGCATTCTAAAATAATATAATTCTGGGTAGTCTATTTCCTTGTCTAAGGTCATCTATGTGTTCAGACAAACATGAAGTCTTCAGTATAATGATTAAAACAACTCAAAGTAACATCCTAAGAAAATGTTAAATTAGTTTTAGCATGCTCATTCCATAGAACACAATCTAGCCACTATCTTTTCACTATCTTTGGAAAGATATTTAATGACATGGGAGGTGGAGAAAAAAAGATACTAATGTAGGTATCTTTAGAAAACAGTGTGTTGACTGGGAATTTTAAGAATTAATATGAAGGGAACTAGACATGCACAACTGTATTCTAGTTGGTAGAGTTATTTCTCATGGGGTTACCAGTTAACAACTCTGAGCTTGCTTTACATGTTTGCTAGAATTGATTGATGAGTAAATGAATGGTAGATGACAGAATCCAGATTTCTCACTGTCAAAGACTGAAGTTAACAGAGAAGCAAGGGGTTGGGGACAAACTATAATCAACAATGTGGTACTGGATTAGAGACAGAGACATCAGTATGAATTCATGTTTAGCTTAATACATAGAAAGATGGATAGTTACAAGGATAATTTTAGCTATGTTTGTATATAGCTCATTCTAACATAGAAAGATGGATAGTTACAGGGATAATTGTAGCTATGTTTGTATATAGCTCACTCTATCTGCTGAGAGAGCTTAGATAGAATAATACCTCAGTGGTAATAAGCACACCCCCTACCCAGATCTTGGTCTCTGACATCATTCTCCAATAAAAGGAACCAGGGCTCTTTGGAGAAATGACTGATTCTAAATCTGGGGTAGAGAATATAGAAGATGATCCTGCAGCATCGTGTCATGCCAGAAAGTAAGGAAGTGTTCAAAAAACAGAATGATGGAGCATTTCAAAGGGATGCAAGAGTCAACCCAAAAGAAGTCTCAATGGCCAAAGCTAGAGAAATTTGGTCAACAAAATGAATTACATAGTATTAGATTATAACCCAAACTATCAAGTACTCATGAGTTCATACTTAGATAAAAATGATTAAATAAATAAGTAAATTGGAAAGAAGAGACAAATCTCCTGTACAGAAGAATTTACATAATTTATGTAGATATTCCTGTCCTCAAGATGGTGAAGCTTAACTCCCCACCCCTTGAGTATGAACTGAACTTTGTGACTTGCTTCCAAAGAATAGACTGTGGAAAGTGGCGGAAAGTAGCTTTACAGTAGAGAAATCTGACAAACATTACCTTGACCTTGTGATGAAACTTAAAGTTATCAGTGATAAGTCATGTTGATAGAATGTAGGTTATACATCTGTACCATAAAAATGCTGTACCATTATAAATATTTTATATCTATTTGGGCCCAATTTTTAAAATACTGTATCCTAGTTAGAATAGAAAGATAAAAGAGAAGGCCATCTAAGGGGGCTTCTCCCAAATTATTCATTAATGTTCAGTTGTTTATAGCAGAAGATTTTGTTGTTGCCTACTTATGCATAAACCTCAAGGCTGTAGCAACCACTCTCTTATAGCCAGTGTGTGTGCCCTAGCATAAGCTTCTAACTATGGACTATTTCTTTACTGATATCATTCAGTATAGGGATAAATCAAATGTGCAAAAAGTTAGAATAAATTTGTGATCTGTAGTTGATCATGTCTTCCTCATGAGCATCCACCTAGCTGCTATAATGTGGGATATAGGGGTTCATCACAAAATTTTAAATTAGTAATTAATGATATCTGTGAAACTTTTGTCTAAATGGTATCTTTCAGAGAACTCAGTCTTATTTGGTTAAGTCTATTTTGAATAAATGTTTAGTTTTTTAGATCTCCCTCTTTCTTTTTTTTTTGAGACAGAGTCTCACTCTGTCAACCAGGCTGGAGTACAGTGGCATGATCGCGGCTCACTGCAACCTCCATCTCCCAGGCTCAAGCAATTCTCCTACCTCAGCCTCCCGAGTAGCTGCGATTACAGGCATGTGCCACCACGCCCAGCTAATTTTTGTATTTTTAGTAGAGACGGGATTTCACCATGTTGGCCAGGCTGGTCTCGAACTCCTGACCTCAGGTAATCCGCCCGCCTTAGCCTCCCAAAGTGTTGGGATTACAGGTGTGAGCCACCATGCCTGGCTGATCTCCCTCTTTCACTCCATCTTCTTGACTTCTTTACCTTACTTTATAATGATGGAGGAGGGGAAGTCTGTGTATCTTTGATGGTCTCAACTGTTCATTTAGCCTTACTCATGGACAGTGATGGTTGAAGTCCAGCTTCCTGTTTGATCTTTTAATTCCTAGCCTTGTGTCTCTGGTCATGAATTCCACTCACCTACCCCTCCCTTCAGGTCCCCACAGTCCAGGGACTTAGTCTTGGACTGCTGGGACCTAAAGGGTCTTTGAATCCAGGCCTTTGCAGTCTTCTCATCACCTTTGCATCCTCTTAGTGAATGCAGGAACTTCTGGGTCATCTGCAGGACTTTGTGGCATTGGCAGAGAGAAAAGGAGGGCATCCAGAGCTTTCTCAGTCTCCTGTGCCTACCTATATCCATTTACAAATGCCCTAGACTGTGATAATCATTCTTTTATAGGAAAGACCTGCCATCTCCCTTGGGCTACAGTCAGAGAAGCCCTGATGCACCTTGAGTGCCTTCATGTGAATCTTGTCACTTCTACATATCACCACTCCCTCCTTAAAGTAGATGCTGGTGGTATAGGGGAATAAGATCCTTGCTGTCTGGCTTTCTCACTCTTCTATCCCTCTTTTGCTGCCTCTAGGTGGAAGGGAAGATTTCCTCCATTTTCATGGGCAGGAGTTTCTTTTACATTGTGTCCATCCTGCCTATTCTCTCCACCTCTGTGGTCAGGTCAGTCAGGCCTCTTGATATAGTAGCTCTGAGATGTTAGAAATTAGGAACTACCAAGGAATAATGTATTGGCTTAATAGTTCCAAAACAGAATCCCCATTACATCTCTATAGCAAGTAGTGCTATAATGCCACAAACTAGGCTTTCTAGCAATATAAATCTTTCCAGAATGCTACATTCTCTAAATCACATGTTTTGGTGGTTATAGATCCAGGAAGGTGTTGAAACTATTTAATAGTAAGTGTGAACCCTGATAAAAAAGTCATAAACCAAGAATTCAAAAACTTTTCCTTTTTTTTTTTTTTTAGTGCTAGTCTTCTTCTTTTAACTTTTATTTTAAGTTGAGGGGTACAAGTGCAGGTTTGTTACATAGGTAAATTTGTGTCATGGGGTTTGTTGTACAGATTATTTCAGTCACCTAGGTATTAAGCCTAGTATCCATTAGTTGTTTTTCCTGATCTCTCCCTCTTCCTACCCTCCACCCTGCAAAATGCCCCAGTGTGTGAACACATAGATGAATAGAAGGGAAAGATTTTTTTTTTTTAACCTTTCTTTTCAGTCCTCAGTTCTTGGGCCATTCCATATGAATTTCTTTACACGAAGTTCTCCTTTTTCAGCATTATCATCCCAGTGTTTCTGTAGATGACTTGAGCCTTTCCCCCATACCAGACCTTACTCAACCCCCCAGACCTTACTCAACCCCCATACCAGACCTTCTCCCTTCATGGTGGCTTCTACCTAGATCATCATTTGGAACTAGATCCCTCAGTTTGTATGACTATTTGATGGAGTCTCTTTCTTACCCCCAAAGTAGAAATTTACTTATTTTGTACACATGGTTTCAAAACAAAGGCTATTAAGAGTGTTCTGCTTTTCTCCAAATTGGCACTTCCTTTGCTCCTAAGAATAGGCTGCTCACATTTTAAACCAAAGCACCCTCTTCTATATAAACTATGAGTTTTTCCAAGTTTTAGGGTCCTGTTTCCTGCTATTCAGATTGGAGTTTCACCTCAGTTAACTAACTCAGCCAACCAGAGCTTATACAGGCTGACTTGTGAGGTCCTAAAGCAAACCAATGCAAAAAACAGAAATTCAGGTCAATGATAAGCAAAAATACCAAAGCTGCCAAGAGAAGCTTCTGAAAAGTATAATTGTTTGCCTCGTTCTGCCAATTGGCTTGGCCCTTCCAGAAGATAAAGAATTTCTGGGATGTGATCCATCATCCTGGCTGTCAATCTACTGCGCTTCCATATTTTATTAACTCTGTGTGGGCTTTTACTGTACTCTCCTTTTTTGGTAAACATTCTTCCCCACCATGTCCTAGCCCTTATAGCTTCCCTTCTAATATGAAGAAAAGACCTTTAACTTCATTCTCATCCCATGTTTACCTGTCTCTGCCTTGATTCTCTTACACACACCCACACACACACATGCACAACCTCATATATGCACACACCCAAGCATGCACATACAAACATATATTGGATTGATTATAAGCCTTGATTCACTACAGTTTTAGTATTAGCCCATGCAAGACCATCTTTTATCTATACATCTTTGTATCAATATTAGGCGTTAGAGATTTTATTTGTTAATCTGCCCAAGAACCCAAAATATACAAGTTCTTTAAATTAGACCTTTTTGTCCCATCTATACTTAATCTGCAGATTCATTGATGACTCTTCTCTACATCCTTCATCTGTGCCAACTCTAGCACAAAGGGGAACCAGGGATGAGTAATGATTTTTTTTTTTTAGTTTTTCTTTGCTTTCTTTGTCTTCTTCTTCTCCTTCTCCTCCTTCTCCTCCTTCTCTTCCTCCTCCTCCTCCTCCTTCATGTTAATATAAAAGGAAATTACCTTTGGCAAAATGCCAAGTATTGGAAAGCATGTGAAGCAGGATGTGAAAGTCACTGGGAGCTTATTTTTTGTCTCTGAAACTCTATCGCCATGTAAGTGTGGTCCCCCAATCGCTTGATCTGTAAAGCAGGTTTTGCTTTTGAATACCCTTTTAGTAAATAAACTACCCCAGAGGCAATGAGATTTTGCTATAAGAAATCAGTGAGTGCAGGTGTCATTGTATGGTAAACTGGTAATTTAAAAAAATCACCATAATTTTGCTCTCCCCAAGCCCATTCATTTCAGTCTTCCTCAGCTCTCTTCCCAACCTCCCCAAAGCCGCGTCTGGAAAGCCTGGGGTAGAGAGACCACAGTAACTCCAGGCTTCTATGCAGCATCTGCCCTTTTCCCCTTCCATAAGGAATGAGAATGCTGAGCTCAGTGCCTGTAGATATGCATGATTTATTCATACTTGCAGTCTTGATGAGAATCACTGAATGCTGCATTTTCTTGATACAGTATTTTTATGTGTCTTCATGTTAGAGTGGCAATTTGGGGTAAAGAAAGGAACAAAGACTATATGTCAAAGAAAAATACTTAGTATACTTTATTCAGTTGAGAAAGAACATACAACTTTTAGGTTTCCCCTCACACTTCTAAAATATAGTTGGCTGGGATTCTCTTGTAATATACCATGAAGTAACATAGTGCTTAATGAAATGAAATTTGAGTATCACAGAGAGGAAATGATGAGCCAAGAAACTGCCATGAAACTACATTAAAATGTACTTGGCATACATCTGAATTACCGCAGTTGCATTGCAAAAATAGTGCAGTGATACAGTTTCTGGAATTAAAAGAACAGCATGTTGCCAAGGTTGAAACTATCAAAGGCAATTTAGTATGTTTTTTTCTCTATGAATAAATGAACGGATTTTTTTCCTTTTAGCATAAGATGATTACATATAGAATCATATAATCTGAATTCTAATTTCACACCTACATTATATGAAGATACTTTTATCATTTTTCCCATTAAACAATTTTAGTATATAAACATCTTAATCAGTGACTTTACCACAGTATATTTTTTAATGTAAAATATGGTAATGCCAACTGCAGGTCTCTGAGGTTAATGAATTGGACACTTAGCATCATTGCTTCTTATAAATCCGTCCTCGCTGTAGCAGATTCCAGTTAAGCTGTCCATGATTTTCTGCACTATGGAAGTATTATTTAACAAATTTGTGTCCACAGTGGATTAAAGTTACTGGACTGGGTTTGGAGAAGGAAGGGTACTAACATCTCTGAGACTCTCTACTAAGACTGGTGCCTTAAATATATACTCACACTTAACTTGTAACAGCCCTGTGAGATAGATGTTACAATCACTGTTGTATGAGGAAGAAACTCAATTTATCTGACTAACGTCGCAAAAACAGTTTTAAACACCCATACACATGTTCATTTCGCCCCATCATGCAGCTTATAGACTCTACATTTACATGGCGCTCTAACTGTTTAATAAAATAAATAGCAAAAATTAATACAGCTCCTGAGGAAAACATTTTCCCCCTTTGGGGGAACCACCATGATTTCTTAGAGAACCAGGCAGAATTGCTACCACTATTTATTTAGAAATTTTTCTTCTTGCACCTGTTTCACAATCTGTTCAGGTCTCATGGCCATCTTTTCCATGTAAGTGGTTATTGACTGAGAAGTCATCTCTCTGGATAAGAATGGGATCACTGGGGCAGAGATAAAGGTCACCAGAAATGCCCTTGAAATAGCATGGTGATAGAATTAATTATTTCTTTTAAATAAGGTATAATAACCATTAGACCTCTGGGTTCAGTATCATAGCTTCTCATCTATCCTGAAGTAGGGAGAGTTTACCTCATTTATATCCCAATAAACTATAAATATAAATATATATATGTGTGTGTGTGTGTGTGTGTGTACACATATAATATACATGTTGTTATGGGCTGAATTTATATCCCCCAAATTCACATGTTGAAGTCCTAATGCCTCAGAATGTAACTGTATTTGGAGGTTGGGACTTCAAAGAGGTGATAAGGTAAAATGAAGCCATTAGAGTGGGCCCTAGTCTGATATGACTGGTGTCCGTATAAGAAGGTGAAATTAGGATACAGACACACACAGAGTGTAGATTATGTGAAGACACAGGGCAAAGACAGCCATCTATAAGCCAGGGAGAGAGGCCTCAGAAGAAGCCAACCCTGCCAACACCTTGATTTGAGGCTTCTAGCCCCTGGAATGGAGAGAAAATAAAGATCTGTTGTTTAGGCATCTAGTCTGTGGTACTTTGTTAGAGCAGCCCTAGCAGGCTCATATACATGTGTAATATAAATACAATAAAAATTGGCCCAATTAATCCCAATCGCCAAAGCAACCAATTTTTTTTTTAAATAAGGAGTCAAGAAATACAAGCACAACTTCATTTCATGGATTTTCACAAAGGCAATTTCTAGGACCTGCATGCCTTTGGCTCAAGACATGGCTTAGGATTGGACTTGTTATGCTTTAATTCCCACATATTCACTATTTGCATTACAGGGTCATAGCAGTAACTTGATTTGCAAAAACATGACCCTGGGAACTTTATTATTTGCAGTCATGAAAGAAAAGATTCACCCTGCTTTGGGAGTCCAAGGCAGGCAGATTGCTTGTGCTCAGGAGTTTGAGACCAGCCTGGACAACATGGCAAAACCCCATCTCTACAGAAATTAGCCAGGCATGGTGGCATGTACCTGTAGTCCCAACTACTTGGGAGGCTGAGGTGAGCAGATCACTTGAGCCTTGGAGGTTGAGGCTGAAATCATGCCACTGCACTCCAGCCTAGGTGACAGAGAGACCCTGTCTCAAAAAAGATTCTGTCATATGTAGTCTATTACACTTACAAAAGCAAGAAAATGGATTATTTGATTTTACTTGCAAGTTGGAACAAAATGGGTTTTGGGGTTGGCTAGACAGCTCTTTCTGCCTAATCATGTGGTAAGGCAGAACAAACTTTACTGAAAAGAAATCTCATACTTCTATATTTGAACAATAATTTTATTTTATATATGTCGCATTTTCATAGTGCTTTACAATGTAGAAAGGTCCTTTTTGAGCATTGTCTCTGCTTCTGTGAAGCCTTCCCAGGCTCCTCCAATAGACTCAGCACCATGTGATTTCAAGTCCCTGTCTTACAGCATTCATGGCACTGTAGTTGTTTATTTCACATGTTGATCTCCTCAAGGGCAGTGACTAAGCCTGTTTAGATTTCTTTTCCCAAGGCCCAGGATAGATTCTGCCACACAGCATGTGGCTACTAAATGTTTGTGGAGCATCTTATGCCTTTCCAGAACTACTATTTTTATAGCTGAAGAACGTGAGATCCAGAAAGTTTAATTGACAAGATGACTTAGAGAGAGACACAAAACCTGGAGGTTAAGGGTAGGGTGGGTTTGGGAGGGAGGGAGTGATAGGGGAGAGTTGGCAGCAGTCAGAGGTTAGATCATCTCAGGTGAAAAAATTTTGTTCTAAGAGAGATAGGAAGTGATGGACAGTTTTAAATAGAAGCACAATATGATTTCAATTACATTTTTAAAGATTGTTCTGGCTGCTGAGGGAAGCAAGAAGACCAATTAGGAAAGAGGGCATTGCAGTCACCCCGAGAGAGATCATGGTGACTTGAACTATAAAGGAAACAGAGGACATGAAAAAAAGTAGATAGATTCTAGAAATGTTTTGGAAAGAAAACTTTGCTGACATTTTGTATGTGAGGGGCCTAATTATAAATTTGACAAATAGTTTTTACCTGTTAGGTGTCAGTGACTATTTGAGGTATCGAACATATGTGGAAAAAACAGATAAAGTACCTTCTGTCAGGACCTGCAGTTTACATTCTGGTGGAGTTATACAGACCTAAATAAATAAAAGATCACCAGTCAATCAATAAATCCCATAATGGCATATGTCATAAAGAAGATAAAGCAATGTGGTGATCTGAAGAGACCACTTCAAATTATGAGCCAGGAAAATTCCCATGGATACCTAATCAGAGAACTGAATGACTGGAAGGAATGAGCCATGTGAAGGTCTAGGACAAAGCATCCCAAGTGCAGTATATAGTTAATGCAAAGGCTCTGGGTGGGGATATGCTTGGCATGTTCCAAGAATAGAAAAAAAGGCCAGCATATCCTATAGGAAGTGAAAAAGGTGGAGGGTCATTTGAGATATGGTCAGTCCAAGAAGTAGTGGGCAAGATGTGGTGTGGAGCCTGTGGGCCACACACAGGGTGTAGCAGAAACCCATTGTGAAATTTTAGGCAACTTTATAAAATGATTGCTCTAGTTGCTGTATGGAGAATGGATTATAGGAAGGCAGTACAATAAACAGGGATCTGGGCAAGACAGGGATGTTGGCTTGGACGAAAGTGGCAGTGGTACAGGTGGAGAGATGTACATAGATTTGGAACATGTCTTATAGGGAAAATAGACATGAGGAGGAATGGAAAGAGGCTATCTCCAAAGATGACTTAACTTGTGGCCTTGAGCATCTAGTAATAGTGCCATTTAGAGATGGAAAAACTGGTGGAGGAGCAGGTTGGGAGAAGAGGATCAAGATTTCTCTTTGGACAGATGCCTGCTAGCCACCCAAGTTATGATGCCAAATTAGTTGATTATCAGAGAATGAAATGGGGAGAAATGTTTGAGCTTCAAGGTTTCTGGTCCCAGCAATGAAATGTTACATGTTAGATTGAGATGCCTATTAAACATCATGTTAGAGATATTAATGAAGTGTCCTAGCTTAGTTAAGACCATTTTTACCTCAGAGTCACCCCACTATGACCTCCCATTAGTTGAGATGTGATCACAGTTCCACAGTAGCTGCCAGAGGGGAACATGTGCTCATGGGGTCCAGGTAAATGTACCATGCTACAGGAAAAGACACACAGCACAGCTTATGTGCATTGCCCAGGGATTTTGGAACAATTCACTTCTAGATTCTCTTTGCCCCACTTCTCACCTTTCTAGAAACCATCTTTTGACTTCTTCTAATCTCTGGAAGACTTTCCCTCTCATTTGCCTCCTTGCTTTGTAAAGCTGATAGAGACAATAGATATGCTTGTATTTCCACCAATTCCCCTGTTTAAGATATCCTTTGGGAGCCATAATTAATCTGTAGCATTTAACAAGTGTTAGCTTTAACTACATTGGAAGAAAATTTGTTATAGATTACATGCATGGGCTTTGGGGAAAAATGTTTCTCTTTATTCCAATAATTTTAATATAGAACTTCATTAAGCACACAAATCAGTGGGAACATTTGCTTATAAAAATAACATAAACCAAACTAACTTTGCATTTTAAAAATCCTCTTGTTCAGTTTTGTGAGCTCTGCAGTCACATTTCTGATGTATATGCTAATGGTGTGTTTTCTCACACGTTATGTAAAAGCAACCTATTATCTTCATTTCAGATTCAGATTCCTGAGTCAAGCCCCTATTATGACCTCAGTATGGTATTTTTTTTACTGACTCGTTTAATCAGAGCATGAACTTTGTGAAATAATACTGTTTTCCCAGTTTTATACATAAGGAAACAGGCTTAGAGTGGTTCGTGACTTGCTGAATATTATGTAGTCAGTCAGTAGAGGGGCTGACCCCTCGATATTTTCTATTTCCTGCTTTTGAATGGTGATCAAATTAGCTTGGTTTGAAAATACGTACCCAAAAGGGAACTCTATTTTCCTCTCAATTCTGCTTTTCCCTCTTCCCCTCCACCTCTCTCTCTCTGAAATGGCAATGTCATTCATTTAACTTTGTTTTCCATTTTTCACCTCTACATCCAATCAGGTCCTTAAAATTCTTCCTTTCTTTCTTTTCATTACTGTGGAATCAGCTATTTGCTATCCTCCCTGCCATTTCCTTGTTCAGATTCTCACCCTCTTTCTCCTGAAGAACATCAACAGCCAACTTACTTATCATCCTGCCTACATCCTTTCTTCCTCTTAGTAAAGGCTCTTCTGTTCTTCACTAAAAGACAGATCAAAATGTCTTAAACACAAATTTTATTTTGGTACTTCCCTATTTACAATCATCAATTGGCTCCCCTGTGCTCTTATAACTTCCAAACATTTTAATAGAATCTCAAAGCTGATATTATGCGTCTTTTTTCTTGGGCCTTTAGCTTCATTCCTTGTCACTTTCCACCTACAATTCTCTTTGACATTCTTTGCTCTAGAGATAATACATTTCTTTAATTCCTAGATGGCTGAACATTGTCACTTGCCTTTGGTTCTTTGAATATTTTATCCCTCCTCCCTGAAGCACTTACAATGTGTTCTTTTTAAAAATTGTGAAATAAAACACACATACACACATACACACATGTGTTAAAAAGATTTAAACACAATGTACTATATAATGAGTAATTACAAAGTGAACCCCTGTGTATCCTCTACTGCCAAGAAATAAAATGTCATCAACATTCCAGATTCCTCCAATTCTCTTTTATATTACATTCTTCTTATCCCCTTTCTTCCACTCCAAGGACTTATTCAGGCTTTGTGGTGATCATTTCCTTGCTTTTCTTTATCATTTCACCAATTGCACATGCATTCCCAAGCAATACAGTTCAATTCTTCCTCTTTTTGAAATAAATAACCACACTCTGTGTTTTCCTTTTTTCACTCATAATAATGTTTGTAATGTTTATACATGTTTTAGAGTGTATCTCTAGTTTCGTTTTCATTATTGCATTGTATTACATTGTATGAACATAGCCTTTAAAAAAATCCATTCTCCTCTCGATGGGCATTTTAGCTATTTCCCATTTTTAGCTATTAGAAATAATGTCTTCAGGATCATTCTTGCATACATGTCTCTTGGATGATGGGTATCCCCATAACTCTAGAATATGTATATTCAGGAGTAAAGGAGAGATACATATTTTCACCTTCACTAGATAATCTCTACAGCTTTCTGGAATATCACTTTACACCCCCACAATTAGTGTATGAAAGTTATCTTTGTTCTACCCGTTTCCTTCACCTAATGTTTATAGACTTACATTTTAGCCAATCCGGTGGTTGTTCAGTAACATCTCATTATGGCTTCAATTTGTATTCCCCTGATTATTGTATTGACCATTAAAAATCTTTGTTT
Organism: Homo sapiens; assembly: GCF_000001405.40. Taxonomy (NCBI): domain Eukaryota; kingdom Metazoa; phylum Chordata; class Mammalia; order Primates; family Hominidae; genus Homo; species Homo sapiens. The sequence goes on from NC_000012.12 coordinate 44,231,742, forward strand.
CTGAAGTGCCTGTTCAAGTTTCTTGCCCATGTTTCCATTGGTTTATATGTATTTTCATAATAGAAGAGTTTTTAAATATTTTCTGCATGCTAATTCCTTGTCAGTTGTATATGGTGCTCATTTGGTACCTGGTCTTTTTACTCTTCTTATGGGTTAAAGCATAAACTTTGATGCAAAATTGTCTGATTCAAATAATGGCTCTATCTCCCTTAACAATTTGAACTTTGGTAAGTCATTAAACTTCTCCATGCCTCTTCTGTAAAAATGAGAATAGTAGTAGTCCTACCTCACATGGTTGTTGCTTAACCTATATAAAGCAGTAAAAAGAGTGCCTGAAACCTAGGAAGTATTATGTAAATAAACATTTGCTGTTCTTTATTTTTATTTTTTGATCATGATTTCTTAATTATAATATAGTCAACTTTTTAAACTTTAGTAACTTTTAGTGTTTTATTAAGAACAAAAAGGTTCTAAAGTTATTAAGATATTCTTTGTATTATTTTCCAAGCTTACTGCTTTGCTTTTTAAGTCTACAATCCAACTGGTGTTAAGTGGTTGCAGCAGAAGTAAACTTTTATTTTTTCTTATATAGATAAACCATTGTCCCACAACCATTTATGGAAAAGTTTATTTTTTTTCCACTGGTCTGCAGTGCTACCTTTGCCATATAATGTACATTTATTTGTGGGTCTATTTTTTAATTGGCCTAGTTACTCAGTACCAATATCACATTCTCTTAATTACTGCACATTTATTATTGATATATGTTGAAGTAGTTCCTGCCACTTTGCTCTGCTTCTTCAAGAGTATCTTCATAATTCTTTGGTTCTTTATTTTTAACTTTAAGAATTTTTCCATTTAACTTTATGAATCAGCATGTCAATTTCCACAATAAAATTGGAATTTCGACTACAATTTTATTGAGACTATAGATCAATTTGTGAAGAATTCACATTTTAAGAATTATGAACCTTCCAATCTCTGAATATTGATACATATTCCTTTATTTGTGTCTTTAATGTTTCTCAGTAAACAATATCATGTTCTCAATTACATATTCCTTTATTTGTGTCTTCTTTACTGTTTCTCAGTAAACAATATGTTCTCAATAGACGTGTTTGAAATATTACTAGCACTTGGTATTTTTAAATACTATTGTGAGTTATAGTTTTTTTTAATAGTTTTCTTTCTTACTTTTGTACATAAGAATCCACTCAAATTTCATATATTGATTTTGTAGCCAGCAAGCTTATTAAATTATTATACTAATTTTAATGATTTATATGCAGTTTATTTTTGATCTTATTAATATCATATCTCTTGTGAATGACAGCTTTGTTTTCACTGTTTTCAGTTCTTTTATCTTTTCTCTCTCTGTCTTGCCTTATTGTGGTGGTTAAAACCACCCAAACAACACTTGAAATGAGAAGAGTTGAGTTGTTACTTATTTCAATAAAGTCTTTATTAAGTATGATGTTTGCAGAGAGTTCATAGTTTACCTTTATCAGCTTAATGTTGTCTCCATTTCTAGTTTGCTTAGAATTTTATTATGTATGGATGTTGAATTTCATACAATGATTTTCTGCATCTGTGGAAATAATCATATGATCATATATATTTCAGTTAATATAGTAAATCACATTTATTTATTTTCTTGTTTTCTTTTTCTTAATTTTTTTTTGAAACTCAAGTACACAGAATTAGATTAATCATAATCCTTGATTCAGGAAGCTGTTTCTTCTCTAGTTCATTCATGGTCACGTTTAATTACTTGGTTAACTATTTCCAATAATATGTTAAATATGTATGGCACTGACATGCAAAACAATAGCTACATCACTGACAATAATTGACATTTACCTTCATTCCCTGCCTACCAAAGCAAAAATCATCCAAAATATTTATTTTCCTTTAAAAATATTTTATTGTATCTTTCATTTTTATTTATCTTTATGAAAAGGCATCATAGTGGCATTTTCTTTTCCACGTGATATTATATTGCCAAATTTTATCACATTAGTGTCTTTGTCTATAATTCATTGATTTTGACTGCTGAATAAAATTCTATTAGGTGAATATATGCAAGTTATTCGTTCTCATTTTGAAGAGCATGTAGTATGCTTTCAAGTTTTTGTGATTATTAACAGTGCATTTATGAACATTCTTGTATGTTAATTTCCTAATATTAAAATAACCTACATAATCTGGTATAAACAGAATTTAGTAATCTTGCATCTTACTCTCCATATATTGCTAGATTCAATTGCCAATATTTCTTAAGAGTTTTTGCCTCTAGGTTCATATATGATATTGGCCTCTATTTTTCTTTTCTTGCACTATCCTTGTGTCTCTATCCCGATTATGCTGGCATCATAAAATCAGTTGGGGATTGTATACTCTTTTCCTTCTCAGGAAGGGTTTGTATAAAAATAGTTATTGATTTCTTGAATATTTGGTATAACTCAATGAAGGCATTTGGGACAAGAGCTTTTTCTATGAGAAATTTTCTTTATTAATTATTCATTTTCTTTAGTTGTTAGAGGATGATATATAGTCATATTCTATTTCTGTCTTCAGTTTGTTTTGATGAATTATACCTTTTTCAGCATTTGTCCAGTTTTTTCTACATTTTCAAATTTATTGCATGAAGTTGTTCTTAATTTTCTCTTAGTATCTTTAGAGTCTGCAGGATTTGTAGTGATGGCTTTTTTATCATTCATTCCTAATATTGGTTATGTGTGCTTCTTTTCTTCATTATTATTTTCTATAGTTTTTCAAATTAATTATTCATTTAAATAAACTAATCTTGGTCTTTGTTGATTCATTTTATTGCATGTTTCTTTATTTTCTTAATTTCTGCTCTTTTTTAATTCTCCTTATTTCCTACATTTTTTTTGCTGTTTCTTTTCATTATACCTTGAAGTGAATACTGAAATAATTACTTCACAGGCATACTTTCTTTTTCATATATGCATTTCAGTATCTAAGTATTACTTTAGTTACATATCAGCATTGTTTACTTATCTATTATTTATTTCTGGCATAATTAAATTGTGTTAGATTATATACTGTGTGTAATTTCAACATTTTGAAATTTGTCAAGACATACTTTATATCTCTTTATATATCATCACTTTTTGAAAATCTCCTGATATGTTTAAAAATGTGTATTCTGTATTTTGGGAGTACATGTTTTCTATGTATCCATTAGGTTATGTTTATTAACTGTGTTCAATTCATCTATATTTTTACCATTTTTATGTGTCTACTTCTTTTAGTTACTGAGAGCTACATGTAAGTGTATTAAAACCCTCAAATAGTAATGGAGTCCATTTTTTCTTATTATGCTAATAATTTTTCTTAGTATTTTGAGGACATCTTAAGTGGTGCATAGAATTTGTAAGCCATCATTTTTTGTCATTTTGAAGTGATTCTCTTCGTACTCTCTCTAGATATATTTTTTTGACTTTAAAGTCTGTTTTGTCTGATATTAATATAGAAACACCCTTTTTCTTTTGTTGTCATGGGTATCATTTTGCCTACTCTTTTACTTTCAATCATTTAGGATATTTACGTTTTAAATGTTTCCTGTTAAATGCACAGTTAGATTTTTAGAAACAATCTGAAAATCTTTTTTTTTTTTGGACTGGGACATTTGGCCCATGTGCATTTAATGTAAACACTGATATACTTGGATTTAAATCTATCATCTAAATTTGTATTTTAATTTTTACCTTTTTTGATGTTTTTGATTGGATCAGTGTTTTTCCACACTTGCATTTATACTCCCCTATCAGTATAAAAGTTATAAACTCTGCTTTAATATAAGAATTTTTAAAAATGTATCCTTAACTTATTAAAGTCTTACATTCACTTATTTTCCCTTCTTCCAGTTTGCTTTCTTTTATTTTAATTCTTTTCTTCATCCATTAACTTGTCTCTGGGATCATTTTCCATCATTCCTTCTGCTTGAAGTAAGTTCTTTATTATTCCTTAAAGTACAGGTCTGTTAGTTACAAATTCCCAGGTATTGTTTCCTTGAAAATGTCTTACTTTAATCTTATAGTCTATAGTCATTCCAAGGTAGTCTGTATTTGGGAATTCTAATCTTGAAGAATATTTTGCTGACTATAGTATTCTAACTTGAAATTCTTTTTTACATTAAACATATTGAATATACATTTCAAAGACATCATTTCACTCTCTTCTGGTTTCCATTGTTTCTGTTAAGGAGATGGCCGCTTAGTCTGTCCTTTCTCTGTAGCTACTTTTGACATTTACTCTCTGTTTTTGGTCTTTCTCTTTTATAATGGCATGCCTAGATGTGAATTTTCTGAAAATTTTATTTATCATTCTTGTGATTTCTTGGGATTATTGAAATAGTAGATTGGTTTTCATTCCTCAGTTTTAGAAATGTTTTAGTTTCTAGCATATATATATATATATAGAGAGAGAGAGAGAGAGAGCGCCATTGTGCCATTCTCTTCCACTTTTCTATCTGAGGTGCCAGTTAAATACATATTAAGCCTTCTTTGTGTATGCCCTATTCTCTGACACTCTCCTTTGATTTCTCCCCTCTTAACATTTTGTCTCTCCATGCTATGCTTTCAATAGGTTCTCCTAGCCTATTTCTAGTTAGTTTTCTTTTCTTCTCTTAAACCTGTTCTTAATTTCAGCCATTGTTTTTTACTTCTAGAATTTCTATTTGTGTTTTTGTCAAAGCTGCCATATCCTTTAAAAAGTTTTATCTCCTTCTTGAAATTTTAAAACTGAATTTTTATTTCTTGACTTTCTTTCTTAGAATATAATAAGCGTGGTTGTTTAAATAGTTTGTCTGCAAATTCTAATATTTGAACATTTTGAGTGAATGTTTCTATTGGTTCTCAGTGTTGATATTTTGTTTTCTTGCATACCCAGTTATCACTGGCCCTATAATAGGCGGTTTATATTTTAAAAACACTTTATAGCGGTAATTTCAGGCATAAGAGGATAGCTTCTTTTTCAGAGTAGGTTTTTGTTTCTTTTGCTAGATGCTACAGATTTTCGTCAATACAAGTTCAAGGCTTGAGGCATCATGAACAACCCAGAATGAAGTAATAAAGCTGGGATGGGAGTTCACGCAAGGGCCACTTTATTCAAAGTTCACCTGTCATAAGGATGTAGTCTTTCATGCTCCCAACTTAAAGTCAGGAAGGAATTATCAGAGCCCCTACCCTTGTGGATAATTCAGCTTTCATTTTGAATCATGAGCGGTTCAAGGTTGCTAAAATCAGAGTTAGCAGGTCCCTTCCAAGCAGAACTAGGCTTCCTTGCAAGGCCAGTAATACCTCACTACCTTGTTAGCTCTTTGATGCTTTTAAAGAATATTCTTTCTATATGTTTTGCAGGCTTTTTAGTTTTTCAGCAAGGGGTTTGATCTGTTTCCTAGTTCCCCATTACTTGAAGCAGAAGTTTCAAGATACATCTGATTAAAACAGTCACGTTTCATCTGCTTAGTTTTTCTTATTCTTTGAGATGTGACAGACGTCATTTCTTCAGTAAAGGCTTCTGAAGCCCCCGGACGTTGTTCGAATAGGTTTTTTTTTTACCTTCATAGAATATAATTCTTTCCATTACAGCACATATTCTACATTGTAATTTACACTTGTTTATATACCCCCCATTAGTCTGCAAGCTCCTTTAAAACAGGGACTATAGGCCAGGCATGGTGGCTCACGCCTGTAATCCTAGCACTCTGAGAAGCCGAGGCAGGCAGATCACTTGATCTCAGTTCAAGACCAGCTTGGCCAACATGGTGAAACACCATCTCTAATAAAAATACAAAAATTTTCTGGGCATGGTGGCATGCACCTGTAATCCCCGCTACTTGGGAGGCTGAGTCAGGAGAATTGGTTGAACCCAGAAGGTGGAGGTTGATGTGAGCCGAGATCCCACCACCGCACTCCCGCCTGGGAGACAGAGTGAGACCCTGTCTCAATTAAAAAAAAAACAAAACTGGGACTATAGCTATTTTTGATTGTTTAATCATCATTATCTGATATAATTCATGGCATATAATAGGTATTAGATACATATCTGTTGAATAAATGAATGAATGCCCTATTACATCAGGGCACAGATGAAATAGTATCAGTTGAAAATAAGTTAATGCATTTGCATTATGCATGTAGAGAAATATTATTTTTGTATGCATTGAGAATATACTCAATAAAACAGTTATATCTGCAGACATTTATTCAGCACTGCTGTGTGAAGAGTTTTAGGACACTAAAACTCATTAATAGAATCATGAGAAAAAAGAGCCATGAAAGTAATTCTTTCTTACATATCATCATGGCTTTGACTTCACCATTGAAATGATTAAATTCTCACATCTCTTAAAAACTGTGAGGAAATTACAGATAAGAAGTGTCTGTGTGTTTTGCAACAAAACAACAAAACATTTATTAGAAAAGTTAAAAGAGTTGAGCATAGGAAAGAGGGTGAAGCATTACTTAATGAACCAGTTTCGTGTGAAGTATCTTTACAAATATTGTAAGTACATAAGGAGAAGAGCTTTCAAACTGATTTTTGTATGTTAAATGTTGGTTTAGTTGTACATAATAGTAAACTCTCAGTAAAACTTTATGGAAGGGAAAATAGAAGGAAGGAGGGAGGGGAGAACCAGGCTACTAATGTGTTTCATTTTTACTAAATCGAGGGATTTTATACATATATCGCTATGAAAAAACTCAACCTACCTGGGCACAGTGATGTGTGCCTGTAGTCCCAGCTACTTGGGAGGGTGAGGCGTGAGGCAGGAGGATGGCTTGAAACCAGGAGTTCAAGACTGTTGTGTGCAATTATCGTGCTTGTGAATAGCCACTACACTCCAGCCTAGGGAACATAACAAGACCCTGTCTCTAAACAACAACAACAACAACAACAACAAAACTCAACCCAGTTGCAACTCCCTTCTTAACGGGAATTCTTATAGCATGTAAAGACAAAGGTATTTTTCTTTTACCCATCTGTGGAGTTCAAAGAACCAGTTCAATGCTGGATTCAACTAACAAACTCAAATGGTTTCAACTAGTTGATTAAAAATTTTTATCAACTTATCTTTTAAGACAAATGCACTCAATTGATCATGGTATACCACATGTGATCTTTTCTTCTTCTTTTCTTCATTATCTTTTGTGCTTGATACTGTATTTCTTTGAATTCTGCCTGAAGTTGCTTTAGATTATTGTGACAATCATGGCACATTGTGCATTTAAATTGAGCTTATTGTCAGAAATATCTGCATTAATATAGGTTTCTCCATTTTTCAATCCCAGTGTAGGGTTTTAAATTTGCCTTTGTTAAATATATTTCCTTATTTATTCTAGGTTCAGAGTATAATTTCTAGCTTGTCACAATCCGCTTTGTGATTTTGTCTTTCACGGTATTATGTTTCTCAACTTTTTATTAGTCACAAATTTCATAAGCGTATCTTCTCAGTGTGTATTCAAATAATGGGTGAAAATGTTGAACAGAACAAGATCGAACACAGATCTGGCAACTTATTAGTTCTCCCAGCAAGTATACAGCATAACTCTTACTATTTGTTACTTTTTGGGAATGGTAATTCAACAAGCTACAACTGTACCTGTGGCATTAAGGATTGTTCTATCAGAAAATTTTATCAAATACACTGAAATTAAGATGTTCCTGTCACAATATTCCTCTTATTTATCAAGATTAAACCTTTTAGCAGCACAGAAATTGTTATTTTTGTATGCCTTTCTCTTCTTAAACCCATGTTGGTTCTTAGCGATCTCAATATTCATTCAAAATAGTCCAAATTTGTTCAGTATTCAGTTATAGAAACTTTCTAATGAGAGGTATCAAATTTACCAGAATATTGTTTTCAGAAGTATACAATGGAAATTAGGACATTTGATGCTTTTCACGCCTGTAGCATCTTTTCTATCAACAGTTGTCAATGGTACCAGTATGACAATTTATATGCCAGATATTTAATATCACAAAATATAGTCATATGCCCACATGCACACATACACATGCTCTCATACACTAAAGAGTGTTATAAAAAAAAGATAGTTGCTATTTTCCTCTTTATCTTTATAAGTGGCTGAGATACTACCTCATATGACTTTTTTTTAAATTTCAGTTGTAAAGATCATTTTTGATATATACCAAATAAATACTGGTAATTTCTGCTTTCCATTTGATAAAGTAACATATTCTATTATTTAATAACTTACAGAAATGACTTTTGAATAGAAAATGCATGCAGATGAAAAAAGATCAGATGAAATTAAAAGGTATTTGGGTAAAAGTGACTGCCCTGCTATATTAGCATTCCATTTAACTGAGAGTGACAGAAACCTATCAGCAACAGTGACCTTTAAAAAGTTCAGAATTGAGCCATGTATTCTGCTGCATGATTTATAGATTCCCAACCTCCTTATATTTTGCTGCACTGCTATCTTTGCCATTCTAATTTATGGGTCACAGTAGATGCTTGAAATCCAGTTTGAATCTTCACATTCCAGGTTGTAGGAAGAAGGAAGGTGATTATGAAAGGAACATGTCTCTTTCTCCTTTTAAGGCCATTTCCCAAGAGTTGCACATATGACTTTCATTTATACCCTGTTGGCTCAAATCTAGTCACATGCCTGCCCTTGGTGTGACTGCCACACACTTATTGAATAATCAAGTGTTCTGTTCTAAGGAAGAAGAGGGAACAGATATTGCAACAATTGGTGGTCTTTGCTATCCTCTCCTTATCTCCCAGTTACCCACGACTTCTTCCCAGAAACTGTGGCTAATTTCTTTTGTATCACTTAAGAAATCGGTATGTATATGTTTGTGTGTGTATGTATTTATAGACATATGTTTATGTTAATGCTTTTTTATTTCTTGTATATAAATATGGGAGTATATCATAGAGACTGTTTTGCACAACCCTTTTCATTTAATGATATATTTTGGAGACCTTTCCACATTTTATAGAAAAAAACATAATTTATTAAGCCACTTCCCTATTAATACCAATTTAAGTTGTTTTCAGATGTTTGCAGTGAATATCAATTTACATATATTATTTCACAGTTGAATGAAGCTATATGTATGTTCCTAGAAATTTAGCTCTTGGGCCAAAGGGATATGCATTTTTAATTTTGATAGGTGTTGACAAATTGCTTTTCTAAGTTGTACCAAATCTCCCCACTATTGAATCATGCATTGGATTAGAGTCTTCCCTTGTTATCCGTGTGAATTGGTTTCAGAGCCCTTGTGGATACCAAAATCCATGAATGATCAAGTCCCTTGTATAAAATGCCCTAGTATTTGCATATAACCCATGCACATCCTCCCTTACACTCTGAATCATCTCTAGATTATGTATAACATCTAATACAATGTAAAACACAATATAAGCAGTTGTTATACTTTATTGGTTTTTTAGATGTACTATTTTTTATTGTGTTTTTTTTTTATGCTTTTTTTCCAAATATTTTTGATCTGATGTTAATTGTATCCACAGATGTGGAGCCTGCACATAAGAAGGGCTGACCATATCTGATAATTTGGGCTTTGTCAGACACTTTTACCAAAACAGTATAATATCAAAATTTTTAATCCTTGTCTTTGATAGATTAAAAAGACATAGTGATTCCTTGTTGTTTTAATTTGTATTTTTCTTACTTTGAATGAGATTGATAATTTTCTTATTATTTGGTGATAGTGGACAATTTTTTGCCACGCAGAAATATTTTATTTTTACGTGATCAAATCTATCAACCTTTCTGTTGATGACTTCGAGAATTTGTTATTATTAGAGCGCTCTCCTACTCCAAGATTATGAAAAACATTTTCTCTTTGGTTTCTTTTGGTAGTTTTGTGCCTTTATTTTTGTGTGTTGAGGCCTCTGATCCATCTGGAATTTGTCATATGTTATGAGATAAGAAACATGCCATGATATTTTAAAGCTGGCAAAACAGTAGTCCCACAACAATTTGTTGAATGATTCATCTTCCCCCACAGTTTTGATATATCATTGGCATTATATACTAATCTCTGGACTTCCTAGTCTTCTCTATAGATCCATTTTTAAAAATCTTTCTATGCATACTAAATTGTTTTAATCAGTGGAACTTTATAAAATATTTTAACATGTGGAGGAATGGTCCCCATTTATTTTTTCTTTTTCGGAATTTGCTTGGCTATTCTTCTCTTTCCTGTTTAAATTTGAGAATAAGTTTATGTTACTTACAAAATAAGGTTGACGTGGCTCTGTTTCTTCCTTCTTGCTCTGCATGGAGTTCAGAAATCTCTTTGTGAATATTTAACATTCTCCTCAAGTCTCATCATGTTTTCCAGTCAACTCCCAGATAATTTGTCTTTTTTTTTTTTACTTTTATTTTAGATTCAAGGGTACATGTGCAGGTTTGTTATATAGGTAAACTCATGTCATGGGGGTTTGTTGTACAGATTTTTTCATCACCCAGGTATTAAGCCTAGTACCCAATAGTTATTTTTTTTCTACTCCACATCCTCCTCCTACCCTCCACCCTCAAGTAGACCCCAGTGTCTTGTTCCCTTCTTTGTGTTCATGAGTTCTTATCATTTAGCTCTCACTTGTAAGTGAGAACATGTGGTATTGGGTTTTCTGTTCCTGAGTTAGTTTGCTAAGGATAATGGACTCCAGCTCCATCGTCATCCCTGCAAAGGACATGATCTCATTCTTTTTTTATGGCTACATAGTATTCCATGGCGTATATGTGCCACATTTTCTTTATTCAATCTGTCATTGATGGGCATTTAGGTTGATTCCATGCCTTTGCCATTGTGAATAGTGCTGCAGTTAACATTTGTGTGTATGTGTCTTTATGATAGAATGAATTATATTCTATCTATATATATTATATTATATCTATATGTATAGATATCCATACATATTATATATGTATATAGATATCTATACATATAGATATATTCTATCTATATATTATAGTCTATCTATATATTATATTCTATATTCTGTATTATATATATGGGATTGCTGGGTCAAATGGTAGTTTCATTTTTAGCTCTTTGAGGAATCACCATACTGCTTTCCATAATGGTTGAACTAATTTACACTCCCACCAACAGTGTATAAGTGTTCCCTTTTTTGTGCAACCTCGTGAGCACGTGTTGTTTACTTTTTATTAACAGCCATTCTGACTTGTGTGGTATCTCACTGTGGTTTTGATGTGCATTTCTCTAATGATCACTGATATTGAGCATTTTTTCATATCCTTGTTGGCCACATGTATGTCTTCTTTTGAAAAATGTCTGTTCATGTCCTTTGCCCACTTCTTAATGGGGTTGTTTGTTTTTCTCTTGTAAATTTGTTTAAGTTCCTTATAGATGCTAGATATTATACCTTTGTCAAATGCCTAGTTCACAGATATTTCCTCCTGTTCTGTAGGTTGCCTGTTTACTGATCTTTGATTTTTGAATCTCTCTTGTATTTATTTGTATGTTACCTTTTCAATGATAGCATTATCAGATTTAGGTCAGAATAGAACTAATGTCTTTATAGAATATCTAGAAATGGGTCAATAGGTCATTATCTTGTATACTTTAACAACAGACTCAATTAGAAAGCTATACCTGAGAGTTTACACACTCCTGAAAATGTAAAAATTAGATTAAATACTAATTTTAAATAAATAATAACTAAAGTATAAATGCATTCAAACCAGTTATCCTTTTTTAAAATTTAATTGACAAGTAATAATTATATATATTTATGAGGTACAATGTGGTGCTATGATACACACACGTATATCATAGAATCATTAAATCAGGCAAATTAACATATCTATTATTTCACACACTTATTTCTTTGTGATGATACACTTAAAACTCCTTCAGCAAATTCTGAAATATAAAATACGTTATTATTAACTATAGTCACTGTGCTGTGCCATTCTGATCGCTAAAACTTATTCCTCCTAACTGAAACTTTGAACCTTTTGACTGACATCTTCTCTTTCCCCATCCACCCCCCACCCTCCCACCTCTGGCAACAATCTTCTACTCTCTACTTCTATACATTCAACTTTTTAAGATTCCACACATAAGTGAGTGAGACCATGCAGTACTTGTCTTTCTGCGCCTGACTTATTTCACTTAGCATAATGTTCTCCAGATTCATCCATGTTGTCAAGTGACAGAATTTCTTTCATTTTTAAGGCTGAATAGTATTCTGCTGTATGTATATACATTTCCTTTATCCTTTCATCCATCGATGGGCACTTAGGTTGATTTCATATCTTAGCTATTGTGAATAATGCTACAGTAAACATGGGAGTGACATATACCTTTGACATACTAATTTCAATACTCTTGTATATATATCCAGACTTGGAATTGCTGGATCACGTGGTAATTATATTTTTAGTGTTTTGAGGAACTTTCACATGGTTTTTCAAAATGGCTGCACTAATTTGCATTCCCACCAACAGTGTCCAAGGGCTCCCTTTTCTCTACATCTTCACCAACACTTATCTTTTGTCTTCTTGATAATAGCTATTCTAACAGGTGTGAGGTGATGTCTCACTGCGGTTTTAATTTGCATTTCCCTGATGGTTAGTGATTTTGAGCATTTTTTTTGTCTATCTGTTGGCCATTTGTATGTATTTTCTCCACCCATAATCCAATAATTTTTATTCTAGCAACACAAAACAATTCAACATTAGGCAAACTAATGTGTTTGTCTTTTTTGGATAAATGTCTGTTCAGGTCCTTTGCCCATTTTTAATCAGATTTTTTTTTCTTAATATTGAATAGTTTGAGTTCTTTATATACTTTAGACATTAACCCCTTATCAAATATATTGATTTCAAATATATTCTTCCATTACACAGATTGTTTTTTAATTCTGTTGATTATTTCCTTGGCTATGCAGTAGGCTTTTCATTTGATGTCATCTCATTTGTCTATTTTGTCTTTAGGCAACTGGTGATCGTATACAAAAAATCATTGCCCAGACCAATGTCATGGATCTTTTCCTCAGTGTTTTCTTCTAATTATTTTATAGTTTCAGGTCTTAGGTTTAAGTCTTTAACTCACTCTGTGTTGACTTTTGTATATGAGGTGAGATAAGGGTCCAATTTTATTCTTCTGTATTTTGGTATCAGTTTCCTCAGCACCACTTATGAAGATACTGCATTTCCTTATTGTATGTTCTTGTCTTCTTTGTCAAAAATCAATTGACTATAAATTGGTTGGCTTATTCCTAGGCTGTCTGTTCTGTTCCATTGGTTGGTGTGTCTATTTTATGTTAGTATCATGCTATTTTGATTATTATAACCTTGTAATATATTTTGAAATCAGGTAGTGTGATACCTCTAGCTTTGTTCTTTTGGATCAAGACTGCTTTGACTATTCAGAGTCTTTTGTGATTCCATACACATTTTAGAGTTTTTAGAGTTTTTTTTTCTCTTTCTGTGAAGAATGCCATTGGAATTATAGTAGCAATTGCCTTGACTCTGTAGATTGTTTTGGGTGGTATAGAAATTATAACTATGTTAATTATTCCAATCCATGAACACTGGATATCTTTCCATTTATTTGTCTTTTCTTCAGTTTCTTTCATCAATATTTTATAGTTTTCAACATACAGATTTTTCACCTTCCTGGTTAAATGTACTTCTAAGCATTTTAATTTTTGATGCTATTGTAAATGGGATTGTTTTTTAAAATATTTTTCAAATAGTTTGTTTTTAGCATGCAGAAATGTTACTAATGTTTATATTGATTTTATGTCCTGCAACTTAACTGAATTATTTATCAGTTCTAACGTTTTTTTTTTTGTTGGAGTCTTTAGTATTTTCTATATATAAGATCAAGTCATCAACAGAAAGAATTTCACTTCTTCCTTTCCTATTTGGATACCTTTTATTTCTTTCAATTTACTTATTTAAGGAAAAAGCTTAGGGAGCAACTAACAAAATGCTGCTGAGAACTCTGGATAGTATAGTAAGATGACTAAAGAGAGTGCTTGTGGTGGACATTAGAATGATTGTTAGGAAAAAATCAGTCAGGAAAACAGAACTTTCTATAATCCCAAATTAGCCTACAGTTATTGGTTGGAAATGACCATTTAAAAGAAATACATTTTATATACAATGTACATAGCATCAAAATAACTCCGTATGGGAATTATCCAAAACAATTATTGTATGCACCATTTTTTAAAAACTACTTTTACTTGTTCTAAATTAGGTTAGAGCATTAAGAATTTTAATTTGATCAGCATCTACAGACTAACAAAGAGATAAATAAATATGAGAATTATAAGCTCAGTTTCTCAAGCTGAGTCATATTACATTAACATTACTTACGTATATCTAATTTTTATGAACCATGCATAAAGGTAGGAGTTTTATTTTTGCAAGTACAGTAATGGACACTTTACTATTTTGATATATGTTTGTAAAAGATCTTAAGAAACATTTAGTTTTCCCTCCCTAGTAGAACTAAATAATAAGATATTCTGGGTTTTATTTTTATGTAATAGAATAAAATAAATTTATATGTTTTCTTACAATAAATACATTAACCACAAGGAGAATTGGAAGCTGCCAGAATAAGGTATTAATATGTCCACAAATGTTTATGCTCTTCTTAAAGAAGACTGTTTGCTTTTGCCTTGAAAAATGTATTTTTCGCTGCTTTTTTCCAGCATTGTAACTTAATTTGCTGCACACTGTATTTTAAAAAGCCAATTCAGATAAGATGTTTAGTGTCATCATTTAGACATGCCACTTTCTCCTGCTACAAGGAATTTAAGTGACAGCAATATATGTTGAACATTTTCTGAAAACACACTTTTTCTTTTAATATATACACAAACTCAATTAGCGTCCAGGTCAGTCAGTGGAAAGGCATTTATAGAATCAATCATTTTGGGTTAAGAAGTAGACACCCTGCAAGCTTACTAATGGAATGGAAATAATGCCTGGAACCTCTCCAAACAGTAACAGTCTCAATGGAGCAATTAAATATGTATGAAGAATGTTTGCTGAGAAGTTCGAACACATCAACCTGGGGTTTATATTTGTGGTTTAATTTATTCAGCACCTTCCAGTGAGCCGATGCTTGATGGTCTAAAAACATTGCTGGGCCCTGCATCTGTTGCATCCTGCACAGAGTTTTGAGTGACAGTCACTCAGAAGCAGTGGTTATTTTTAATCATCTCAAGAAGTACAGGCAGAGAGGGGAGAATGGGAGTTTTTGATTTGCATTTAGATACCCAACACTGCCTCATTAATAAATTTGGCACTCTTAAGAGTATGTCAGGCAATCTTCAGCCCATTTAATAGAAAGTATTGGCATAGGCAAAACTCCTATTTCTGCTCACAGCAGTGGTATTTAGGCCTTCAAATTACAGTTCACTTGTATGATTGCTGCAATCTGTATCTTCAGATCATTACTTTTCTCTCTCAAAAGCGAAGTCTGTATGGTACTAACTAGCTGAACTTTATACTATTAGGAAATAATGGTGCTACTGTGTTATAATACCACCGATTAAATTATGGAAAAATTTCAGGGGGAGATAGCAACAGGATGAGACGGCAACATTTTCTTTTATGCTCAAGCTTTGTTTTTAAATGCCAGAGAAACAAGGATATATTTTTTCTTGTTTTATTTTTAAATTTATAATTGATACAACAATTGTACATATTTATGGTGTGCAATGTTATATTTCAGTGCATTTATACATCATATTATGATCAATTGGAGTATTTACCATATCCATCACTTTAAACATTTATCCTTTCTTTGTGGTGACAACATTCAAAATCTTCTAAGTATCCTGAAATATACATTACACTGTTTTTTGCTAAATGGCAAACAGATGTATGAAACCATGTTCAGCATCACTAATCACCAGAGCAGCGCAAACCTTGACCTCTTAATCGGCCCTTTATCATCACCTATGCCCCAACCCCATGCCAGGGGGCAGTATTTCACAGGAAGGAACTTTCAGAGGAGCCAACTCTGCCTGGACCAGTCGTTGAAGAGGTTAGTCCTGGGGAGAGGGTGCTGTGATAGCCTGGGGTCTGACACTCACCAGAGGGTTGGGCTGGCAGCAGAATGCTCTCTCTCCCACCGCCTTGCCTGTGGAACCTCTTATGCCAGGCTTGTCTGGAGGAAATGAGTTCTAGCTTCCATGTGGGGCTTGAGGGCAAGGGAAAGGTAGGGTTTGAGATGAGAATGAGGACTTGGGTTATGCTAACAGCTTCCAGTTTGGGTCTCAGGTTCTGACTCAGAAGCCAAGTATGAGGATATAGCCCCCAGTTGGGCGGGGAGACAGGATCACAGGGTTTGGGATGGGTGGACTCCTCTCAATCGTGTGGTTCAGGGAACAAACCCTGAGCAACTAGACCCAGATGGGTGAATTTCTGGAGAATTTGATGCTATTGCCATCACTATCAGCCCCAAGGCTTCCATTATACCCAGTCTTGGGGAGGGTGCACCATTTACATAGACCAAACATGAATGATGCTTCCTGGAGTTGGCTAATTGACCGATCTGTACCCTGAACTTTCCTTCCTATGGCAGACATTGCTCATCAAACACAGTTTATGTTCAGTTTAGATAAGGACTAGAGTCCTTCTCCACATGGGGCTGCAGACAAGCCCTGCCAATTCCTCAAGATCTCCAGCTCAAGAGTAAGCGGTTGGCCATCACTCTCTAATGAACCTTGATGAGCCCCCAGGAAACACAGAGGCACCTCCAGTAGCCCTGGATGATGCAGACAGCATTGAGGATGTGACATTAGCGCTGGCAGATGTGGCACATGTGGGCTAGGGACTGCGGTGTGACTGCTGCCCACTCCTCCCGTGAGAAGTCCTCCAATGCTGCCTGCCCACTGCCTCATCTCCAGAATCCTGGACAGTATCAGCCACCATCAGCACTGAATGATCCAGGTGCTGAGGGCTGTGTTCCACAGTGCCTGATGCACCAGGGTGCCCCAACACCAGGCTTGGATCTTGATGACTGCCATATCTTTGTCAGAGAGCTTCTTTTGGTTTTCTGGGGGTTTTCCAAATTTCTCATTGGCATTAGCCACTGTTTGTGTCTTAACCAGAGCCAGAGTTTTGGCCTCTGCCTTCAACTTTGAGGTTAATGGTCCCGAAGAAAAATGGGCCAGCATGTCCTTCTGCTCAGGCTCATCTTTTGTGTGTGTGGGTTTATTCATTTTTTTAGGCTGCTTCCTATTAGTTCTGTTCTGCAAGTTGTACAGGAAGCATGGTGCTGACATCTGCACAGTTTCTGAAGAGGCCTCAAGGACCCTTTACTCATGGCAGAAGGTGAAGCGGAGCAGGCATCTCACATAGCAGAGCAGGAGCAAGAGAGGAAATAAAGATATTTAATGTAGGGAAAGGTTGGGAGGGTTTTGTGTGTGTGTGTGTGTTTCCAGGGGTTTGTATTCAAATGTATGTGGTATACAACTACTAATATCTTGTCGAAGTTACATGTTTATTATTCTAGGCTGAGGTCTGCAGGAGATAGAATTAGCAAACAACTAGAATCCATACAACGGGTAAAATTCCAAATATGGTCAAGATTTTGAGAGGGTTCCATGGATAGGAAGAATCAATATCATGAAAATGGATATACTCTCCAAAGTAATTTATAGATTCAATGCTACTGCCATCCAAACTACCATTGAAATTCTTCACAGAATTAGAAAAAACTACGTTAAATTTCATATGGAACCAAAAAAGAGCCTGTGTAGCCAACACAATCCTAAGCAAAAAGAACAAAGCTGGAGGCATCACACTACCTGGCTTCAAACTATACTACAAGGCTATAGTAACTAAAACACCGTGGTACTGGTACCAAAAGAAACATATAGATCAATGGAACTGAACAGAGACCTCAGAAGTAACACTACACATCTACAACCATCTGATCTTCAACAAACCATGTAAAAACAAGCAATGGGGAAAGGATTCTCTATTTAATAAATGGTGCTGGGTAAACTGGCTAGCCATATGCAGAAAACAGAAACTGGACCCATTCCTTACACCTTATACAAAAATTAACTCAAGATGGATTAAAGACTTAATTGTAGGACTTAAAACCATAAAAACCCTAGAAGAAAACCTAGGCAATACGATTCAGGACATGGGCATGGGCAAAGACTTCATGACTAAAATACCAAAAGCAATTGCAATAAAATCCAAAATTCACAAATGGGATCTAATTAAACTAAAGAACTTCTGCACAGCAAATGAAACTATCATCAGAGTGAACAGACAACCTACAGAATGGGAGAAAATTTTTGCAGTCTACCCATCTGACAAAGGTTCAATATTCAGAAACTACAAGGAACTTAAACAAATTTACAGGAAAAAAATAAACCCATCAAAAAGTGGGCAAAGGATATGAACAGACACTTCTCAAAAGAAGACATTTATGTGGCCAACAAACATATGAAAAAAGCTCAGCATCACTAATCATTAGAGAAATGCGAATCAAAACCACAGTGAAATACCAGTTCGCACCAGTCACAATGGCTATTATAAAAAAGTCAGGAAACGGTAGATACTGGCGAGGCTGTGGAGAAATAGGAACGCTTTTACACTGCTGATGGGAATGTAAATTAGTTCAACCATTGTGGAATACAATGTGGCAATTCCTCAAGGATCTAGAACCAGAAATACCATTTGACCCAGCAATCCCATTACTGGGTATATACCCAGAGGAATATAAATCATTCTACTATAAAGACACATGCACACATATGTTTATTGCAGCAGTATTTACAATAGCAAAGACTTGGAACCAACCCAAATGCCCATCAATGATAGACTGGATAAAGAAAATGTGGTACATATACACCATGGAATACTATGCAGCCATGAAAAGGAATGAGATCATGTCCTTTGCAGGGATGTGGATGAAGCTGGAAGCCATCATTCTCAGCAAACTAACGCAGGAACAGAAAACCAAACACTGCATGTTCTTGCTCCTAAGTGGGAGTTGAACAATGAGAACACATGGACACAGAGGGGAACAACACACACTGAGGCCAGTGTGGGCAGTGTGGGGCGAGGGGAGGGATAGCATTAGGACAAATAGTTAATGCATGCGGGGCTTAAAACCTGGATGACAGGTTGATAGGTGCAGCAAACCACCATGGCACATGTATACCTATGTAACAAACCTACACGTTCTGCACTTGTATCCCGGATCTTAAAGTAAAATAAAATAAAAATAAAAATAAAGATTTTGAGAGGGTTCTTGGTCACATGATTGCTCTGGTGCACGTCTTGACTCAGCATTACATATTGTCTTGTCCAAGATGCCGTGGTGTCATAGGGTTGAGGGCTGATACTCCAGAGTGAATGACACCTCTGATGGATGCACTACAAAGCCCAGGGATTCACCTTTGAATTAGATTTACAACATTATTAAAGGAAAAAGCTGAAGTATCATCATAATTTAATGGGATATAAAATGAAAACAGGTCTTCTAAAATGGAAACTTGAAATCCCAGGGAGGCATTTAAAATGTGGTTACTGACAGATCTGTCATGCCAATTTATGAGATGTGAAAGCTTGTTGCTTTCAAAGCCTCTTTCAGGACACTGGTATTTAAGGCCTCTAAGGCCATCGGTTGGATGCTTTTTTTATATTGATGAAATCCTAAGGGTAGCTTATAAGATGATAGATTTAGCTTCACTGAGAACTGGCATTTAATCATCTGTGATAGTAACATGAGGCCAAGTGTAGTATGACCACTGCCCTACGTCACTAAGGACACATTTTACAGCTCATTACTTTATATGTAAGATGGATTTAAAAAAAGTATATATTGGATTAAT
Source organism: Homo sapiens (assembly GCF_000001405.40). Classification (NCBI taxonomy): domain Eukaryota; kingdom Metazoa; phylum Chordata; class Mammalia; order Primates; family Hominidae; genus Homo; species Homo sapiens. The sequence continues at coordinate 44,251,624 of NC_000012.12, forward strand.
TTATAACCCAAACCACAGAATAATTGGAAATATCAAATAACCTTATTAGCTGACACTGAATCTACCAACAGTCCTAACTAGTCTTTGAGTTAGTAACTCTATACCCTGGGTGGTCAAAGAAAATATTTAAAGTCATTTATTTACCTCTACATATGTCAAACAAAAATTTCAGAGGCCACAAAGAAATAAGCAACAAACAAAAACATTCAGCATTAGCTTCTTAAAATGTGGATTGGATCAGATCACTCTTAGAAACTGTTACTATCTTAGTGGTAACTTCCTACCCAGAGATCACCCCACCCCTCCTTCACTACTCCCTTACTGCAGATTCCTTACTTACAGGCGAAAAAAGAAAAAAATTGCGTACTTCTTAGCGTAATGTTCAAGGCTTTACAGCATCTAGCTCATCCTTCATTGCTAGCCTTTTTTCGTCTCTTGACATATCAGTGCTTCAATTTATCTACAGTCTTCTCTCAGTTTCACAAGCTTGCTGCATGCTTCGTCTCTGGTGACTCTGATCATGCTCTACCCTTGCCTACAAGGCCTTTCTCCTTTTTTTCCACCTATTAAACTTTATCCATATCCAAAGATTCAGCCTGTGGCCAGGCCCAGTGGCTCATACCTGTAATCCCAGCACTTTGGGAGGCCGAGGTAGGCGGATCACTTAAGTCCAGAGTTCGAGACCATCCTGGGCAACAAAGCAAAACCCCGTCCTATTAAAAATACAAAAATTAGCCAGGTGTGGCAGCACACACTTGTTATCCCTGCTGCTTAGGAGGCTGAGGCAGGAGAATCGCTTGAACTTGGGAGGTGGAGGTTGCAGTGAGCTGAGATCACATCGCTGCACTCCAACATGGGTCACAGAGTGAGACTCTGTCTCAAAAACAAACAAACAAACAAACAAAAAACAAAAAGCAAAGATTCAGCTTGAATGCCATTTTTTGTGAAGTCTGCTCCCAATCCCTATTATGTAATCAGGGCTCCATCCTCTTCATTTGCACATCCCTTGGTTAAGTCTTATAGAATAGTTGTCTAGGATTTGGCTTTGATGTTTACACAGGTTTGATTTATACTGGGATGGAATCCCTTTATCAGTTACATAACCTGGAGCACCTTATTGAACCCTCCAAGCTTCAGTTGTTTTCCCCACAGGACTGTGAAAAGTATCTAGCGGGATATTTTTGACACAGAGGAGGCATTAAAGGGGCAGTATGGACATGTCAGTCCCACTCCTGTCCAGGAAAAATTTCACTACAGAAAAAATGAGGATAATAAAGCTTCTGAAGTAAAATTTAATGGTTGTGGTTATTAATTATTTAGCAAAGAAAAGAAGAAGAGGTCGGAAAAAGAGGAGGAACAGAAAGGAGAAAGAGGAGAAAAAAAGGAAAAAAGCAACCCTCTAACTAAGAAATATTACTGCTGTGTGAAACACAAATGTCTATAAACCAAGTGAATTTTTGGACTGTGGTTTAAAATGATATGTTTCTAACATTATCTTTCTACTTTATGTGTAATCACCTGTCAAAACACAGGAAAAGAATAACTAATTAAACATTAATGAATAGGGGGAGTGTGTGTGGGAGGGAGCACATATTTAACCTGTTAGATTTATTTTTTAAATTATATGATCAAAAATTAAAACATTATGTTACTGGTCCAAGAATCAAGAGACAGGATAAATACTGCTAAAATTTTCACCATATTTGAAGGGATGTTCAGGATGATGAACTTAAAATGTTGTCTTTTATGATTTATGCAAAGTTCAGTCTATCCTAAGGGAACACCTTAAAAGGAGATCAGTAATCCACTCAAAATCCTAAAGCTGAGGTCGACAGAGGGTAAGAAAAGACCCGATATGAGCCTCCCCAAATTGAAAGCCACAGGGCAGAGATGCTGAATTTCAGTTGTGGGTTATAAGGAGCTCCCTTTTCCCACAGCCAAATCTAGAGATTAGAATCCAGGATTGCTTGATTGGGTCCATTAACTCAGCAGGTGAGCTAGTGCTCTCTAGGTTCCTTGTGTGCTTAGTTTATGCCATTTTCACATCATAGTGAAGCTGACATTATTGTTATCCATGCTTTACACTTAGAAAATGTGGGCATACAGAGATCATTTGTTCAAGGTGATGCACTAGTAAGTGGTAAAGCCAGTTATAAATCCAATGTGACTTCAGAACTTGCATAAAAGCTACTGTGCTATACTGATAATTCCTACACACACACACACACACACACACACACACACACACACACACCTTCTCTCTCTCAAAGAAACATTACAAAACTGCAGAGAACATTTCTATCCTCAGTAGAGAAACTTGGAAAATCATCTATTTGGAAAAAAGTGAAGTTTGATCATCATTTTTTTTCCCCTTCACCTCATTTGACCAAAAAAAAAAAAAAAAACATAGAAGCAGGCTAACCAACTCAATGACAACAATAACCACTGTGAAGCAAAAAATAAAAAATAAATATAGATTACAATGGCATATGTGTGAGGAGTTGAGAACTGTAAAAGATTTCTAAGCCTAAAAGGAAAAATCACCACAAGTAAAAAGATTTATATATTGAACTACATAAAATATATATATTCTTGACAGAAAATAGTTATCAACAAAATTGAAAATGACTTACATGCTAGAAAGTTGTTTTTAATTAGTATGAAGAGGATTAATAGTCTCAGTAGATGAGAATCAATCAATTAGAAGAACACTATGAAGTAGACAGTTTACAGAAAAATGCATAGAAATGACTTCTAAATATACAAAATAAAAACCTCATTATTGATAACACAAAATGAAATGAAAACTCTAAGTACCATTTTCATCTATCAAATTAGCCCAGATTTTTAAAAAGTTTTTACTAGAAAAGATAAAAGTAAACATTCTCATACTCTACTGCTAGAGTGTAATTTGAATCAACCTTTCAAAAAATAAATTTTATAATATGGAAAATATCCATAAAATAGTCATACCCTTGATTCAGTAATTATTCTGCTTCTAGGGGCGAGTCTTAAGAAAGTACCAGATATATATATATATATTTTTTATTATACTTTAAGTTTTAGGGTACATGTGCACAATGTGCAGGTTTGTTACATATGTATACATGTGCCATGTTGATGTGCTGCACCCATTAACTCGTCATTTAGCATTAGGTATATCTCCTAAAGCTATCCCTCCCCTCTCCCCCCACCCCACAACAGTACCCGGAGTGTGATGTTCCCCTTCCTGTGTCCATGTATTCTCATTGTTCAATTCCCACCTATGAGTGAGAACATGCGGTGTTTGGTTTTTTGTCCTTGCGATAGTTTGCTGAGAATGATGGTTTCCAGTTTCATCCATGTCCCTAAAAAGGACATGAACTGTTCATATTTTATGGCTGCATAGTATTCCATGGTGTATATATGCCACATTTTCTTAATCCAGTCTATCGTTGTTGGACATTTGGGTTGGTTCCAAGTCTTTGCTATTGTGAATAGTGCCACAATAAACATACGTGTGCATGTGTCTTTATAGCAGCATGATTTATAATCCTTTGGATATATACCCAGTAATGGGATGGCTGGGTGAAATGGTATTTCTAGTTCTAGATCCCTGAGGAATCACCACACTGACTTCCACAATGGTTGAACTAGTTTACAGTCTCAAACAAATTTACAAGAAAAAAACAAACAACCCCATCAAAAAGTGGGCAAAGGATATGAACAGACACTTCTCAAAAGAAGACATTTATGCAGCCAAAAAACACATGAAAAAATGCTCATCATCACTGGCCATCAGAGAAATGCAAATTGAAAGTACCAGATATTAACTAGGATTTATAATACTGACATATAACACTGACATATATGACATATAGTAACTAAATGTCTAATAACGAGTCCAAGTAAGTTAGATAAATTTATATCATGGAATATTACACAGCTGTGTAAGATAGCATGTTTGAATGATAGTGTGTTTGATTTTTCTTAAAAATATCCACAATGTAAGCAGTTAATTGTAAAAGCAGGATATAAACTTGGACATGGTAGGATCACAATTTGGTAACACAGACACATGCATACACATATACATGCATAGGTATAGAGAAAATACAGGAATAAAATACAGCCAAAGAATAACAAAATACTGGCAAAAAATCAACCACTGCATTACTGGAGGGATAATTTCATTTTCCGCTATACCCTTTTCTGTGTTTTTCTATTAGCATTTAAAAAATATTTTTTAACATGGAAAATATGTTTTGGAAAACAATCCTCATATTTCAGAAAGAGAATGTCATTACTGGACACTGATGATAACTATAGTATTGTTGTTCAGTGAAGCAAATTATTAATAACCTGACTCAGAAAGCCAATCCAGACCATTCCTCATATCCTCAAGCAGATTTTATATTAAATTATTTATATAAGTCATTTATAACTCATATTACTAAAAACACTAGTTAGGAACATCATTTGTGGTCAGCATTTTTGTAAAACTTTAAATTAAAAATAAACATAAACACATATGTACACACTATGTGCATACATATACACATACATACCCACAGAATAAGGATATATATAAATTTATGTATACTTAAATTTATATAAAAATTTTATATTTACACATATGTGCATATAAAACAATGTATGTATGTTGAAAGGAACAAGACTTTTGCCTGCTTTTTTATTGCATTGGTCAGATATATGGAATCTCATTATTATATTTAAACTACTTACTATTGAATGTGGACCCAAAATGTCATGTTTTAACCTTTTAAATATGAAGGAAGGAAGAAATATGCAATCACATATTTCAATAAAGTTAAATTCCATTTCAGGTTTCATCTCATTATTTATAATTTGATCAGATTCACAAGATGAAATTACTCTTATAAATAATACATGGATATTTCATGTGAATTTTGATGTAGATTTATACAATGTGGAATTTTGCTGCTATAGATTACTATGCATTCTTGAGTTTTATGATGAAAGATATATCCAGTAGTAATATAATGCAATAGGAATTGATATGATGTCAGAAACCCCAAAAAGTGTTTGCAGATGCAATTAAAATGTATAAAATAACATGGGCTTTCATCTTACTTGATTTCTGTTTCTCAGAATAGCATTATTTAGGATAATCAAAGAAACGTTTGTTTTAAAAAATCAATACCCTTGAAGCATCATCATTATTTTTAAATATGTGCAATTGTTTCTACAGGTTATTGATTTTACCTGTCTCAGTATATAATGATTGTTTGGTTTTAAGTCTTTCCTAAAAGGGTTTGTAACTTGGCCATTATTTACACATATATGTTCTATGGTTACTGCCTTCTCTTTTCCTGGTCTGTGACTGGGTCCCTGCTGACCCTGACAAATGACTTTTTTATTCCTCCTAGTTAACCCTTCTTCACATAAAGGAAGAAAGGATTTATGAAATATCTATTGCATACTAGATGTTTATTTGTATGTGACTTGATCGAATCCTCAAATAGCCTATATGCTAGGTCATTGGAGAACACATCACTCAAGCAAAGAAGAAAGAGGCAGAGAGAAGGAGAAGTTGCACACCCATGGGAAGAGTTTTCCTCTTACGGTGGTTTAGAAGTAGTCCTGCTGCCCTGGGCTCAATATTATGTGCTTGAGCGGAGCCGTAGGCATCTGCACTCCTATCCATTTGCTGATTCTTCTCACCCTTTTGACACGTTGACTCTCTCTCTATATATAGGTGTCCACTCCATTTGTTGTTTGTCTTTACCATTCTGTTTTGGGATTGGAGCTCTGTCTCGAATCCAGATCTTGACACAATGTCTAGTCCTTTTAGCCATCTCCAGTAGAGGAAGGACCTTGCCTGTCATATCCTCAACTACTTGCTAGGGTTGTGTCTTCAAAGGACTGGTAGCTTGAAACAATAGTTGCTACTAATATCTGATTTCGAGTTTCTCCTCTACATAAAACCTTTTCTCCTGACCAGAATTTTCACTGGTATTGGGGCAAATTGCCATATAGATTTCATTGTAAATCACTACCTTTGGCATCCTAAAGCCAAATCAACTACTCCAACATAGATCCCACTTGACACCCATGTCTCTGGTGCTGCACCCTGAATAAAACACATTATACAGGAGACACAGCTTATTTTACATTTTCCTCTCCGAACAAAAATATATCATATGCAATAAGGAGGAAATTTATGAGAAAATATGGTGTTTCTATTTTTAAATAAAGTATATATTATGCACATATGTTTTTGGATTTTGCCAGAATTATTTTTGACATAATCTTTCTGAACTCATTGCTATTAAGTCATAACTATGTTAATTTTAGTAGTATTCTTTAGAATAATGTTAATCCAGTATATTTAAAATAAATAGATTAGGAAACCTGGAGATTATTAATATTTATTACCTTTATGAGAAGACAGAACATAGTTTGAAAATTACCTTTTTCATAATAGAGATTTAATTATCTTTTCCCAAGGAATTTCTTTATCTTGGCTTAGCTTTGAATTCAACTCTGTAGCTACCAAAGCATTAGGTGGGCATTTATCAACAAAATGCATTTTTTATGTAATTTTTGATGCTAGATAGTACAAACCCCTCCAAAGCATAAATGACCTCCCTGTTCATTCTATTACATTCAAAAATGTTTTTATATATTTTTGACATTAGTTCCTCTTACCTCAGGTAATTACTGTCTATGTATAATGAGCAGCCGTGGCCTCATTGAGTAATGGCTGTTCTATTTCTTTCAAGAGTTTAAAAGACTTGTAGCTCATATGGCTGATTATGAAGTTTCATTCACTTATGGAAAACATTTTTTCTTCTTCCCTCATGACATATGGTGTGTATTCTAGAGAAATATTTTTAACATTAAAGCATCACCAGGAAAAAAAAGATTAGAGTGTTTTGACATTTCTGTTATTTAAATTCTTAACAGAAGAAAAATCAACCTTGTTAAATGAAAGAATCTATATTTATTCAAACTCTTTTGAAAAAATAATTAAAGATTGGTTCAAAACATTTGTAATTACATTTTATTTTGGAAAGCTTTTCACAATTCAATAGTCAGGGTTTCTTTTAAGTCATCTCAGTGGAGAATACAGCTATCCTTGAGAATCACATATAAACTTTACAGAATTAGCAAATGTGTAGTTGTGGCTGTGTCCAGAGACTGCTGGAACATTGAGATGAATATTGATGAATTCAGCCAGATGTTCATTAATGTTCATTTTCTAATACAGGAGCCATTAGCTACATATAGCTACTGAGCACTTGAAATTTGTCTGAATTGAGATGTGCTGTAAGCATAAAGTCACCATGGATGTCAAGAATTCATTAAGAAAAAATATAAAATATCAAATTCATAATTTTAAATTGATTTTATTGATTTGTGGCTTGTGTTGTATTTCTGCCTTTGTATACAAAACATTTGAGTAAAATATAAAAATGTACTTCACTTTTCATATTAGTGTTCTGTTATCCCTTTAGCATTTCCCATGTCATTGTTTCTTACTAAACTGCATAGGAGGTACAGCAGCTCCGCTAATGGAGTGAGCTCTCTTGGTATTGAGGTGGCCAGCATTATACTAAATGTTCCAGCTATATAGCAACCTACAATATGAGTCCCTACAATGTGCTGTGTGAATTATATAAATTATCTCACATAGTCTTCACCATACTCTATGATGTGGTTATTATAACTGCAGTTTTAAGATGAGGAAACTGAATCTCAGATGATTCAAAAACATGTTTAATATGATTATTACAAAGCTTACTAAAGGGACTGAGTCAGGATTCAAAGCAAAGTTTGTCAGTCTTTATGGTCTCACTGCGCAAATACTTTTCTTTCTATTTTAAGACTTTCCAGGAAATTCATGAAGATACGGACTTCTTTCAAGGAGTTATGTTAAATTGATCTTTGGGAATGATGATGGTCATTACGATAATTGTCGGTAAAAGTTACACAAGACTTCTCCAACCTTAGTAGGTAATTAAGTATGTTCCACAAGGAATAGTAAGTGATGGCATTCACTGAAATAGGAACTTTATCTAAATGTTTCCATGCATCCTTATTGTTATAATGAGTAAATAATAACAGTGGCCATATTAAAAATAGAATTACCCTTTTTGAATTAAAATTATGTATTTGAATTAGAAAAAAAGCATTTGAAACATGTATTTTTAAAAAGCAACAAGAACTCGTTATAAAATTATTTGTAACCTGGCCCACATTTAGCACTACTGCTATTTGATGAGTTGAAGAATGAAGGACATCAGTTTATGTAATGATTTTTAGTTAAGAACCAATCGTTTCTTATTTTAAAAACCGCCATGAAAAATTTTGGAGATTTATATGATATCTGAGAACATTTAGAACACCATGTGAAACCTCCCTTGACTAGGTTCTGCTAATTGGTTTCACTGGTCAGAATTGGCTGTGGACATTTTCCCTACTGCTCCCAGGCCAACGTAGGGACCGATGGTACAAGAAGCGTCTTTCCATGACACTTAGCTCTTCTGTCCAGAAGACCTGCCTTGGCCACTAAGGCCATTATTGCCACAGATATCTGCAGGTTAGTGAAAGGTGAGAAAGCATGTTCTTCAGCAATTTGAGTTACCACCGTATTTACACTGGTAATTTTTATGGTAATGAGATTGTGTCTTACAGACTCACTTGTGATTTTTTGACTTGCCCTCTGGCTAAGTGGAGTCTAAACCTTTCCTCATATGCTGCCTCGGCCATCAGGTGCACAAGTACAAAGACTCCTTTCATGATGAGAAGCTGTGTGATTTCAAATGAAATTGTACCTAAAGGATGCTGTAATTCATACTTACAAAGAAAAAGTGCTTACTAGTAAATAACTTTCCATTTTCTAATATCCTCTATTTTTAATCCATTGGTAATATCTATTATTAACCTCTATGGTAAATACAAAAACAAATAGAAACATACAGTATTTATTATTTGGTAATATAAGGGAAAATTGCTCTAGTCATAAAATTATTTTAAAGTTGGTTACTTTGGTTATCATTTGCCCCAGCATGTACTTCAGACTACATGAGTTTAGAAGGGAAAAACAAATATCTGTTTACGGATAGAGATTAGTTTTGTTTTGTCTTGTTTAAAACCATCCTCCACCCCTTCCCACCCCAGCTAGTTTCACAGTGGAAAACCATGTGCAAATCATAGATCCTGGCAGTGAGAGGAGAGGCAGATGGGCATAAATCTTGAGATTTAAGTATCTTAATCAGACTCCACAAGTAAAAAGAGAGACAAATTTTTTTAGCAAGCTGCTTTTAAAATATTCTATTTTGTAATTGTGAGTGGCACATTGAACTTTATATAGCATGTTTCTTGTATAATAATCTCTATTAACTGATAACTATGTCCTTTACAGGACATTATCCAATTATGTCTTGGATTTTTAAAATAGATTTTAAAATTGTGAGTATATACAAGTTACATTAATGCGTATTGGATCTTTGGTCCATCTTAAAACATTTTTTTAAAAAAATCAATTAAAAAATCAATAATGTCTATAAAACAGAAATTATTTATGGAGCAATCTTATAGGCACTTCACATGATTAACTCAGTAAAGAACTGAAGGGTGGCTTATCGCTATCTCAGATGAAGAAGCTAAGGCTCAGAAAAGGTAAATAGCTTGCTTTTATTATTGCTTAATCAGTAAATAGTAAAGATTCAAACACGACTCTGCCTAACTGGAAAACTAATGTTCTCACGTGCTATCTGATTTAAAATATCAAACTATAATGTGGAAAATGCAAAACAATTCTGAAATTTTGGTATTTATGAAATCAGTAGTCTGGATTTTTTTGCACAATGGATAAAAAGCTTTTTGATATTACTGAGGATTTGGGCTGTCTTGGTACTGCTTTGGCTTCAAGGTTTATATTTTAAAAAAACTTGATGCTACAGATTCTTATCAATAGTATCGCTATGGGGAGAAGTCATATTAAAAAAATAAAGCTTAAGGAAACAGTCCAATTTGAATAATAGGAACATAGATGGAAGGTACGATGGTGTTGAATAATCCTGCTGTTGCTATTATGACATTTCGCTTATAAAGAAAACCACAGTAATTTTCCCAGTTTAGTGGTAAATTGAGAAGTAGGAATCTCTGAGAAACCTTCACATGCGCAGCATTTTGGATGGTGTTTGGAACAAAGCATTGGAGTGAAATTCAATTAAAGCAAGCCAGGAAGCCCTTCTGAATGAAGTTCTGAACTAGCTTTTCCTTTACACCCTGCAAGATTCATCTTATTGTAATTCTCTATTGATTTGGGTATGAATTACAAGTTAATGACTTTTGTTCAAAGGTGGAGAATTACCTTGTTTAATGAAATGGAATGTAAACAGCCAATGTTTTTGCTATTAAAAGGAAATCCATGTGGAGTTTTTATAAAAGAAATACCTGTAAGGATTAATGTAGGTGTGAACCAGCTTCTCCAGAGACTTTCCTGAATATTTTATGCAAAAAGTAAGTCCTGCCTTTAAAATAAGGAGAAAAAAGTGTAAAAGGTTATGCTGACTATAGTCAATAGGCTAAAATTTTGATAGTACCACAAATTTTTCCATTTGTACACACACACTATGCGGTGTGTATGTACATGTGTGAATTCCAGTGTCTAGTATATACTATACTCATACATTGTTTAGTTTTAGGAAGCTATGTAATATAAATATAGCAAGAAAACTTTATTTTCCCTTGGCAGAAAGTAGAAAACTGAAGAGAGAGTTAAAACATGACCAAGGATCCTGTGGTTATTCTGGTAGAACCAGTAAAACAGAGAAGTCTGTTCATTCGTGTTGCTTCCACAAACCCACGTGTTTGATGGAAATGAAAGAGGTTATCTTGTCCAAACTATAAAAGTATAAAAGACCTTCATACTAAGATAGCCACCAGAGTAAAAAAGTTTCATGTGATTTGCTGTCATATAATTCTGTAGCAGTTAAATTAATGTGATCTACCATGATTTTCATTGCATGAGGTTCATTTACTTATTTATTTATTTTTGAGATGGAATCTCGCTCTGCATCCTGGGTTCAAGCGATTCTCCTGCCTCAGCCTCCTGAGTAGCTGGGATTACAGGTGCGTGCCACCACGCCCGGCTAATATTTTTGTATTTTTAGTAGAGATGGGGTTTCACCATGTTAGCCAAGATGGTCTCCATCTCCTGACTTCGTGATCCACCCGCCTCGGCCTCCCAAAGTGCTGGGATTACAGGCGTGAGCCACTGCGCCCCGCCGAGGTTCATTTTTAATATTGCTGTCTTACTAAAATGAAGCAGTTACTTTAAGAATGGAAACTAAGTAAGAAAAATTCTCACAACCAGACTTTGTTTTAATCTGTGCTCTATTTTTTATGCAATAATTCTTTATTGAAATTGTGCTTTTTATAAGGCTGTGACTTTTCTTTTGCTATGTCACAGACAGGCAATGACATTTATAAGTTAACACTTTAAATAGGCTGGTGTTTGAAATAGCATTTTCACTTTGAAAAGTTAATAATATCGTGAAATAAATTCTGTTGCTTTTATCTATAACAAAGTTTTCTCAGAAATCTGCTTCTCTGTGGTGTTTCTTTAATGTGGTCAAAAAACATATGAAAAAAAGCTCATCATCACTGGTCATTAGAGAAATGCAAATCAAAACCACAATGAGATACCATCTCACGCCAGTTAGAATGGTGATCATTAAAAAGTCAGGAAACTACAGATTCTGGGGAGAGGATGTGGAGAAATAGGAATGCTTTTACAGTGTTGGTGGGAGTATAAATTAGTTCAACCAGTGTGGTGATTCCTCAAGGATCTAGAATCAGAAATACCATTTGACCCAGCAATCCCATTACTGGGTATATACCCCAAGGATTATAAATCATTCTACCATAAAGACACAAGCACATGTATATTTATTGCAGCACTATTCACAATAGCAAAGACTTGGAACCAACCCAAATGCCCATCAGTGATAGACTGGTTCCTTACAGAATTGTTTTTAAAAAACGAAATAACTTCTTCATTTGTTATTTTCATCACCTTTAAAGCAAGATAATGCCACTTAGATAAGAGGGGTAATTAGCCATTTGATTGATCTGCCATAATAATGCTACACATTCTTTGGACTTATTTGTCATTATGCCTCTCATAAGAAAAGATAATGGAAGAACAGACCACTGTGCATGGAAAATATAAATATAAAATATACAGTCTCTTCACTTTGTAAGATAAAATAATCAAGAATACTTTTAGTTCATAATTTATTTCAGTGAAGGTGCATTTGTATCCTGGAGGATCATATTAATATTTTCAGAGCAATAGAATTGTGTGATGTTTTACAACAGTTCTACTCAATTAGAATCCCTGTTTTATGCTTTAAAATGTTGCTATGTCAGTTTCATGGCTTTCTAAAGACTTTAGAGTTCTCAGTATACCTACAAATAGCAATGACTGTCTACATATACAAAAGATTCAGTGAATATGGTAAAACTATAAGTTGATGAGTGTTTAGGAGATAACCTATTTTTTTCTGACAAGTTTGTTTTTCTGTCTATTTGATCATTGTTTTTCATCTTTGTTGTTTACCTGGATGATCTCCCACTAGCTGGAAATTCAAAAGCCATTTCTCAGTGAGCCCTCTCACTTCCTTGATTTTATAACTATTACTGAAGCTTCACCCTAAGACAGTTACTTTTCCCTCACCAAGCACAAATGTGAATGTGGTGTTGTACCTTCAGAATCCCCTATCAGCTATGCTAGTCCCCTCCATATTTGTTACCTTAACTCTGTGGCTCTCAGGACACTGGAGCCAGTGTTTCTGTGAGGTGGGTATTTGTGAAGGAATATGTAGACTGGAGAAGGCTACTCACAGATCCCTCAGATAAGAAGAATGTTGATGGGAAGCTCTTAGGGAAGGGATAAGGACAGCAGAGATGTCCCACCTAATTGCTGCAAGGGAAGTAAAGGACTGAGCAACTTTTATTATTTTGATAGTGTATGTATGTCAGAAGGATGAAACTGCTCACAGAACCATAGAAATCTGAAAAAACAGATGCTTTTTCTAGGTAACATAAAACCAACAGAAAAAGAAAAAAATATAAAGATGTGGTTTGAATATATGAAAATCATACCAAATGTCATCATTTATATGGATGATCACTAAAAGAATTGAAAATAAATAATAATAATAACTAGCATATACTACAGCTTTTTAGCATTTACTAAAGTTTTAAGCATTCTATAAAAATTACATCTAAGCTTCACAACAACCTTATGAATTATGTACAGATATTATAATTTGCCCCAAAAGTGACAGAGCTGGGATTAGAAACCTAGCAGTATAATTCCAAAATATGTGCTCTGGGGATAGTAGATGATAAAGAAACGAATGAGAAACAAGCCAAAGAAAATACCAGCTTTGAAGATGCTTGTCAAGAAGTAAAATACTATGACAAAAAGAAACGAGTGTTTAGGTGGCTACTTTTGCCTGGGAGTTTAGAGAACTCTCTGAGGTTTAAGCGGAACACTATATAACGAGAAGCCAGTAAAGGAAAGAGACCAACTAATCCAAAGGCTGCACAGCAGAAAGGAGGCTGTTATGATCCAGAAACAAAGGAAGGGCCAGAGTGAAAATGGTACCACATGACTTTGGAGAAGGGAACAAGGTGTAGATCATGTAGTGGGGCTAAGGTAGGGTATTCGGATTTCATTCTAAGTGCAATGACACACTACTGGAAGAAGTGAGTGATAGGATCTGGTTTAAGTTTAAAAGGTCATTTTTGGCTGCTCTGTGGAGCATGTATCATAGAGAGGCAAAACTAAAAGCAGTAATTCCAGTTAGAAGGCTATGTCAGTGGTTTGGGTGAGAGAGGGCAGAGCTTTGACTAGAAGGTGAATAGTGAAGATGGAGACAAGTGAACCCGTTTGGGAAATAGTTTCTTTTTTCCAACCTTTATTTTTTTATTGAGGTGAAATTGACATAACATAAAATTAACCATTTTAAACTATACAATTTAGTAGCATTTAGGGCTTTCATAATACTGTACAACCACTCTCTCTGATTCTGAAACATTTTCATCACTCCAAAAGAAACGCCCTACCTATTATGCAGTTGCTTCCCATTCTCCCCTTCCCCAGGCCCTGGAAAACATCAGTCTGTGTTCTCTCTTTATTTATTTACCTATTCTGGATATTTCGATAAATAGAATAATACACTATGTGGTATTTTTAGCTAGTCTTTCACTTAGCATAATGCTTTCAAGGTTTGTCCATTATGGAGCATTTATTAATCATTCATTACTTTTTATTCACAAGTAATATTCCATTGTATGGATAAAGCAAATTTTATTTACCCATTCATGACTTGATAGATATTTGGGTTGTTTCTACTTTGGGGCTATTAGCAATAATGCTGCTATGAACATTCACATACTTTATCTATGGATATATGTTTTTATTTCTCTTGGGTGTATAGCTAGAAGTGAAATTGCTGAATAGTATGGTAAACCTATAACATTTTGAAAAAACTCCTGGGTAATATAGTAACATTTAACATTTTGAAGAACTACCAAACTGCTTACCAAACTGGCTATAGCAGTTTGTAATCCTACCAGCAATGAATGATGGTTCTAATTGTTCTCTATCCTCTTAAACATTTATTATCGTCTGTCACGTTTATTGTAACCATCCTAGTGGATGTGAACTGCTATCTCATTTTGATTTGCATTTTCCTAATGACTATACTGAGCATCTTTTTATGTGCTTACTGGCCATGTTTATATCTTTCCTGGAGAAATGTCTATTTAAAATATTTACCCATTTTTAAATTGGGTTATTTGTCTTTTTATGGTTGAGTTGTAAGAGTTTTTATATATTCTGCATATAAGGCACATATCTGATAAGTGATTTGCATGTATTTTCTCCTAGTTTGTGGCTTGCATTTTCAATTTATTTTGCTGTCCTTTGAAGCACATATGTTTTTAATTTTGATGAAGTTCAATTTATCTGTATTTTCTTTGGTCAGACTTCAGGTATCACATTTAAGAAACAGTTGTCTAGCTCAAGTTGACAAAGATTTATTCCTATAATTTCTTCATGAGTTTTATAGCTTTAGCTCTTATATTTAGGTTGTTGATCCATTTTGAGTTATTATATATGGTATAGGATAGTATCTAACTTCATTATTTTGCATGTGATTTTCCAGTTGTCCCAACACCATTTGTTGGAAAGATTATTCTTTTCCCCATTGTATAGTGTTGGCAGCCTTGTCAGAAATCAATTGACCATGGATGTATATATATGGGTTGCTTTTTGGATTCTCAATTCTGTTTTGCCTATGTATATATCTTTCTTTATGCCAAGGGTCCCTTGCATTTCCATATGAATTTTAGGATTAGCTTGTCAATTTCTGCCAATAAAGCAGCTGGGATTTTGGTAGGGATTATATTGAATATGTATATCAATCTGAAGAGTATGTCCATCTTAACGGTGTTAAATCTTTCAACACATAAACATAAAATATATTTCTTTTTATCTTCGTCTTCTTTAATTTTTTCAACTATGTTTTGTAATTTTCCGTGTATGGGCCTTGACTTATTATGTTACATTTATTTTTAAATATTTAGTTCTTTTTGATGTTATCATAAATGAAATCTTTTTCTTAATTGCATTTTTAGATTGTTCATTACTAGTGTATAAGAAATAAAATTGATTATTTAAAAATAGTTAAGGTATGATTGACATACAAAAAGTTGTACATATTTAATATATACCACTTAATGAATTTGGAAATAAGAATACACTGTGAAACCATCAACCACAATCTATGCCATGAACTTGTTCATCCCCTCTAAAAGTTTGCTCCCAATTTCTTTATTATTATTTGTATGATAAGAATAATTAATGTTAAGATTTACTTTGTTAGCAAAATTGTAAGTTTACAACACAATATTGTTAATTATAGGCACTATGCTGTCCAGTAGATCTCTAGGACTTACACACCTTGTATAACCAAAGTTTATACCTTTGACCCTCCTTTCTCCCTCCAAGTCCCTAGCAACCATTCCATTCACTGCCTCTATGAGTTTGACAATTTTAGATTCATCTTATAATTGGTATCATGTAGTATTTGTCCTTTTGTGTCTGACTTACTTTATTCAACATAAGCCTGAATACCTTAAAAAAGAAGGAAATGCTGTGATTTTTGATAACATGGATGAAGCTGGAGGACATTATGTATGCCATGTTTTCCTTGTCCATTATTCATCAGTGGACATTTAGGTTGTTTCTATGTCTCAGCTACTGTGAACAATGCTGCATTGAACATGGGAGTGCAGATAGCTCTTTAACATACTTATTTCATGTCCTTTGGATATGTACCCAGTAGTGGGATTCCTTGACCATATGGTAGTTCTATGTTTAATTTTTAATGATTTTTATAAAGGTTATGGGTCTGTAATTTTCCTTTGTTGTAGTGTCTTTGGAAAAAATTCTACTTGATCATGACATCTTTTTTTTTTTTGAGACAGAGTCTTGCTCTGTTGCCCAGCTTGGAGTGCAATGACGTGATCTCGGCTCACTGCAACCTCTGCCTCCCAGGTTCAAGCAATTCTTCTGCCTCAAGCTCCCAAGTAGCTAGGACTGCAGACATGCACCGCCATGCCTGGCTAATTTTTTTTTTTATACTTTTAGTAGAGATGGGGTTTCACCATGTTGCCCAGGCTGGTCTCGAACTCCTGACCTCAGGTGATCCACCCGCCTCGGCCTCTCCAGGTCTTGGGATTACAGACATGAGCCACAGCACCTGGCCCCATGGTGTCTTTTGTTCAGGGGAGAAATGAAGTCATTTTTAAAAATTATGAGAAATACTACATATGTATGAGTTTATCATATATAGAAGAGTGTATTATAAATATATTTGTTACATATTACATATGTATGAGTTTATCATTTATAGAAGACTATTATAAATATATTTGTTACATATATGTATACTATACAGTATATGTTTCTATGTTTAATATAGGTATACTAACAACTCTCACATTGTTGGCAAACTAGTAGGTGTATGCAAATGTATCTTTGTGGTTTAAATTTTAATTTCCTTGAAATCTAATAAGTATGAGCACTATTTTATATTGAAATTGGCCCATAGTCTTCCTTTTCTAATAAGTGTCAAGTACCCACCACTCAGGTCAAGAAATAGACAAGTATAGGGACCCCAAAAACCTCTGTTGTTTCCCTCCCAGATCACAGTTCCCTCCTCCCTTAAGATAGCCATAATTTGTGCTTTGTAATAATCAGTTACTTGGTTTCCTTTAGTTTTACCAACCTTACATGGATCCCTAAATAATATAGTCGATTATCCATTTCTGAATTTTATCTAAATAAATACATACTTTTATCTCTTGCTTTTTTTCACTCAACATTACATTTAAGAGATTCATCTCTGTTATTTTTATACCTGTATCTGGTATCTAAGGCAAGTTTTCTCCTTTCTCTATTGTCTGACATTCAAACTGGATTGCTTTTGGGTTAGCTATGTGATAATTTTATTACTCTAAAAGTAACACATGCAAATGGTAAAAACAAAAATAAAAATTCAAGTAACACCAAAAGGCATAAATTTAAAAGGAAAACACTACCACCCCAATCCACACTCCTTAATGACTACACAACCCTTCTTGTAATTGACTCCTTTTGTTTTAAAATCCTAAATTATTCTATTATGCTAATTTTAAAAATGTATCCGTTTCACACAGTAATTATTAACAACACACAATCAGTGATAGGAAATTTACTGTCTTATATTACTACCCTCTACTGCCCCTCCCAGACTACTTTTTGCAATTATTCTTATTTTTTTTTTAGTTTTGTTTTTTCTATTCTTATCTTTAAATAATGGCTCCATGTTTCTCTCTACCTCGTCTCCCTTCCTCATCGTCTACATTTTTATGAGCTATGTTGTTTTCACATTGTTAAAATTAAACATTCTCTCATTGGAATTATGATTACCTTCGATTTTGTTTATTGATTCAGCCCAACATTTGTAAATCCACTAATTATATTTATATTATGTTATATTTTTCAATTTGAGGAATGATACTTTCCAAGTCCTCATTGGGTCAAAACAGATACTTATGTTTCTATATCAGCACATATGCTTCTTATCACTTAATACTACCAAACAAAGCAGAGAAAATTATTGTCAATAAGAAATCTGGTTTTGTGGATTACAGATATCATCTCTGGATAAAAAGAAATCTTAACAGTCTTATAATTTGAAAGAAAATTTCCCCAACTACTTGTTAGTGGGATAATTTATAGTAGCTTTATCTTGGAATACCTGTGAAACGACCTGGAAAAAGAAGACTAAAGAATGACTAAATTGTTGTCATTTAAGTGCAATAATAACAAATATATTTTTCAGTGTTATTTCACATTCATTATTTCATTTAACCTTCACAACAAAACCATAATTAGGCACACCCAAATAGCACAGTGTCTAAGAGCTTTGGTGTTGGAGTCATAGAGATTAGGGTTTAAATTTAAACTCCATATTTAATAACTTTGTAATGTTAAACAGGCTACTTAATCTCTCAAAGTATAATGCTCCTTACACAGAAAGAGGTTGTTAATAGTTTCTTTCAGCCATGTTTTGTAGTTTTCCCTATAGAGGATTTTCACCTCCTTGGTTAGATACATTCCTAAGTATTATATATTTATTTATTTATTTGCAGCTATTGTAAAAAGGGGTTGCGTTCTTGATTTGATTTTCAGCTTGGTCGCTGTTGGTGTACAGCAGAGCTACTGATTTGTGTGCATTAATTTTGTATCCTGAAACTTTGCTGAATTCATTTATCAGTTCTGTAGCTTTTTGGAAGAATCTTTAGGATTTTCCAGGTATACGATCATATCATCGGTAAAGAGTGACAGTTTTACTTCCTCTTTACTGACTTGGATGCC
Organism: Homo sapiens; assembly: GCF_000001405.40. Lineage (NCBI taxonomy): Eukaryota > Metazoa > Chordata > Mammalia > Primates > Hominidae > Homo > Homo sapiens. Next base: position 44,270,600 of record NC_000012.12, read on the forward strand.
CTTCATTTCTTTCTCATGTCTGATTGCTCTGGCTGGGACTTCCAGTACTATTTTGAATAGAAGTGGTGAGAGTGGGCATCCTTGTCATGTTCCAGTTCTCAAAGGGAATGCTTTCAACTTTTCTCCATTCAGTATTATGTTTGCTGTGGGTTTGTCATAAACAACTTTTATTACATTAAAGTATGTCCCTTCTATCCCAATTGTACTGAGGGTTTTTAATCATAAAGAGTTGCTGGATTTTCTCGGATGCTTTTTCTGCATCTATTGAGATGATCATGTGATTTTTATTTATAATTATGTTTATCTAATTTTTGTTTTTAATTCTGTTTATGTTAATTCTGTTTTAATTCACATTAAACAATACATTAAAAAGATCACTTGTGTTTGTTAAACCATCCCTGTTTCCTGGGTATGAAACCCACTTGACCATGGTGGATCATATTTTTGATATGCTGTTGGATTTGGTTAGCTAGTATTTTGTTGAGGATTTGTGCATCTATGTTCATCAGGGATATTGGTCTGTAGTTTTGTTTTTTTGTTATGTCCTTTCCTGGTTTTGGTATTAAGATGATACTGGCTTCATAAAATGATAGTATTTACCTCATAGGATGTGTTTGAAAAGTGAGTATATGGGTATAGTAATATAATTTTAACTACCTAATAAATTTTAGCTTTTATAATCATTGTCTCCTTCTGCCCATTCTGCTTTTCCTTCTTCTCCTTCTTCATTTCATAGATTAAGAAATTAGGCCTGAGAGCATAACTGTCTTTTCCAAGTACACATAAACAGTACAAAAAATATACATATAGGCCACTGGAACAGAATAGGGAGCCCAGAAAGAAATCCATCCATTTACGGTCAATCAATTTTTGACAAAGATGCCAAGAAAATACAATAGGGAAACAAGCATCTTTTCAATACGTGATGCTAGAAAAACTGACAGTCCACATGCTGAAGAATGGTTTTTGATCCTCCACTCATATCATATTTAAAAATCCACTTAAAATTGTTTAAGGTCTTAAAGATAAGACCTGAAACTATAAAACTACTAGAAGAAAACATAGGGAAATGTTCCATTATATTCTGGGATAATACTCAAGATGATCAAAACACAGGCAACAAAAGCAAAAACAGACAAATGAGATTACATCGAGCTAAAAAATCTTCTGCACAGCAAATAATCAATAGAGAATAAATAACTCATAGAATGAGGGAATATATTTCCAAACGGTATATATGATAAGGGGTTAATATATGAAATATATAAGAAACTCACACAGCTCAATAGCACAAAAACAAATAGACTGATAAAGAAATGGACAAAGGAGCTAAATAGACATTTCTCAAAAGAAGACATACAGAAATCCAACACATATGTGAAAAAATGCCCAACATCTCTAATCATCAGGGAAATGCAAATAAAAACCTTGAGCTATCACCTCATACTCGTTAGAGTGGCTGCAATCAAAAAGATGAAAGATAAGTATTGGTAAGAATGTAGAAAAAAGTGGAACCTTATTCACTGTTGGTGGTATGTATATTGGTACAACCATTTTGGAACACATTATGGAGGTTCCTCAAAAAATTAAAAATAAGAAATCCAAAAGCTAAACAGACTCAATAACAAGTAACAAGATCAAAGCCATAATAAAAGTCTCCCCATAAAGAAAAGCCCAGGACCTAATCACTTCACCACTGAATTCTATCAGACATTTAAAGAACTAATACCAAAACACCAAAAGCAATGGCAACAAAAGCCAAAATTGACAAATGGGATCTAATTCAACTAAAGAGCTTCTGCACAGCAAAAGAAACTACCATCAGAGTGAACAGCCCACCTACAGAATGGGAGAAAACTTTTGCAATCTACTCATCTGACAAAGGGCTAATATCTAGAATCTACAAAGAACTCAAACAAATTTACAAGAAAAAAACAACCCCATCAACAAGTGGGCGAAGGATATGAACAAGACACTTCTCAAAAGAAGACATTTATGCAGCCAACAGACACATGAAAAAATGCTCATCATCACTGGCCATCAGAGAAATGCAAATCAAAACCACAATGAGATACCATCTCACACCAGTTAGAATGGCGATCATTAAAAAGTCAGGAAATAACAGGTGCTGAAGAGGATGTGCAGAAATAGGAACACTTTCACACTGTTAGTGGGACTGTAAACTAGTTCAACCACTGTGGAAGACAGTGTGGCGATTCCTCAGGGATCTAGAACTAGAAATACCATTTGACCCAGCCATCCCATTACTGGGTATATACCCAAAGGATTATAAATCATGCTGCTATAAAGACACATGCACACGTATGTTTATTGTGGCGCTATTCACAATAGCAAAGACCTGCAACCAACCCAAATGTCCAACAATGATAGATTGGATTAAGAAAATGTGGCACATATACACCATGGAATACTATGCAGCCATAAAAAATGATGAGTTCATGTCCTTTGTAGGGACATGGATGAAGCTGGAAACCATCATTCTCAGCAAACTATCACAAGGACAGAAAACCAAACACCGCATGTTCTCACTCACAGGTGAGAATTGAACAATGAGAACACTTGGACACAGGAAGGGGAACATCACACACCAGGACCTGTTGTGGGGTGGAGGTGGGGGGATAGCATTAGGAGATGTACCTAATGTAAATGATGAGTTAATGGGTGCAGCACACCAACATGGCATATGTATACATATGGAACAAACCTGCATGTTGTGCACATGTACCCTAGAACTTAAAGTATAATAAATATACATATATATATATATTTAAAAAGAACTAATACCAATAGTACTCAAATTATTCTGATAAATAGAGGAGGAAGGAATACTTCCAAACTCATTCTACAAGGACAGTATTACCCTGACACCAAAATCAGACAAGAACACATTGTAAAAAGAAAACTACAGGCCAGTATATCTGATGAATATTGATGCAAAAATTCTCAACATAATACTAGCAAACCAAATTCAACAATAAATTAAAAAGATCATTCATCATGACCAAGTGGGATTTAGCCCTGGGATGCCAGGATGGTTCAACATATGCAAATCAATCAGTGTGATATATCATGTCAGCAGAATGAAGGACAAAATCATATGATCATTTCAATTGATGCTGAAAATGCATTTGATAAAATTCAACATTCCTTTATGATAAAAAATGGAATCCTCAAAAAACTGGGTATAGAAGGAACACACCTCAGCATAATAAAAGCCATCCAAACAGACCCAAAACTAGTATCATACTGAATGGGAAAAAACTGAAAGCCTCTCCTCTAAGATCTGGAACATGACAAGAATGCCCACTTTCAACACTGTTGGTCAACATAGTACTGGAAGTCCGAGAAATCAGACAAGAAAGAAATAAAGCGTGTCCAAATTGGAATGGAATAAGTCAAATTATCCTTGTTTGCAGATGATATTATCTTATATTTTGAAAAACCTAAAGACTCCACAAAAAAACTATTAGAAATGATAAATTCAGTAAAGTTGCAGGATATGAAATCAACATACAAAAATCAGTAGCATTTCTATGTGCCAACAGTGAACCATGTGAAATAGAAATTTTAAAAAGTAATCCCAGTGGCCACACACACAAATAAATACCTAGCAATTAACTTTACCAAAGAAGTGAAAGAACTTAGTAATGAAAACTATAAAACACTAATGAAAGAAATTGAAGAGGACACCAAAAAATGGAAAGAGAGTCCATGTTTATGGATTAGAAGGATCAATATTGTTTAAATGTCCATAGTACCCAAAGCAATCTACATATTCAATGCAATCTCTATCAAAATACTAATGACATTCTTCACAAAAATAGGAAAAGCAATTCTAAAAATATATGTAACAACAAGAGACCCAGAACAGCCAAAGCTATATTAAGCAAAAAGAACTAAACTGGAGTAGTTGCATTACCTGTCTTCAAATTAGGCTATAGAGCTATAGTAACCAAAACAGCATACTACTGGCATAAACACAGACACATAGACCAATGGAACAGAATAGAGAACCCAGAAACAAATTCATACAGCTACAGTGTACTCATTTTTAACAGACGTGCCAGGAACATACACGTTGGAAAAGATAGTCTCTTCAATACATGGTGCTAGGAAAACTGGATATAAATACTCGGAAGAATGAAATTAGACCCCTATCTCTCACCACATTAAAATCATATCAAAATGGATTAAAGATTTAAATCCAAGACTTCAGCCTATGATACTACTAATAAGAAAACATTGGGGAAACTCTCCAGAACATTGGTCTGGGAAAAAGTTTTCTGGAGTAATACCCCAGAAGCAAAGGCAACCAAAGGAAAAGTTGGCAAATGGGATCACATGAAGTTAAAAAGCTTCTGCACAGCAGTGGAAACAATCAACAAAGTAAAAATCCCACAGAATGGGAGGAAATGTTTACAAACTACCCATCTGACGATGAATGACTAGAATATATAAGGAGTTCAAACCACTCTATAGAAAAAAAGTTGAATAACCCGATCAAAAAATGGGCAAAAGTTTTGAGTAGACATTTCTCAAAAGAAGACATGCAAATGGCAAACAGGCAGATGAAAAGGTGCTAAACATCGTTGATCATCAGAGAAATGCAAATCAGAACTGCAGTGAGATGTCGTCTCACCCCAGTTAAAATGGTTTCTATCCAAACGACAGACAATAACAAATAATGAAGATGTGGATCAAAGGGAACCCTCATACACTGTTGGTGGCAATGTAAATTAGTGCAACTGTTATGGAGAACAGTTTGGAGGTTCTTCAGAAAACTAAAAATAGAGCTACCATATGATCAAGCAATCCCACTACTAGGTATATATCCAAAAGAAAGGAAATCAGTATATCAAAGATATATCTGCAGTCCCATATTTGTTGCAGCACTGTTCACAATAGCCACGATTTGGAAGCAATGTAAGTGTTCATCAACAGATGAACAGATAAAGAAAATGTGGTACATATATATAATGGAGTACTATTCAGCCATTAAAAAGAATGAGATCCTGTCGTTTGCAATGACATGGATGGAACTAGAGATCATTATATTAAGTGAAATAAGCCAAGCACACAAATAAGAACATCGCATGTTTTCACTTATTTTTGGGATCCAAAAATCAAAACAATTGAACTCATGGACATAGAGAGTAGAAGGATGGTTACCAGAGTCTGGAAAGGCTTGTGGGGGCGGGGAGGTGGGAATGGTTAATGGGTACAATAGAGATAGTGAGGAAGAATGAATAAGACCTACTATTTTATAGCACAAAAGGGTAACTATAGTCAACAATAAGTGTATATTTAAAAATAACTAAAATAGTATAATTGCATTGTTCGTAAGACAAGGCATAAATGCTTGAAGGGATGGATAGTTCAATTTTTATGATGTGATTATTATGCATTGCATGCCTGTATCAAAACATCTTATGTATCCCATAAATATATACACCTACTACATACCCACAAAAATTAAAAATAGAACTGTCATGTGATCAAGCAATCCCTCTACTGGGTATATATCCAAAGGATATGAAATGAGTATGTCAAAAAGATACCTGCACTGCCATGTTCATTGCAGTAGTGCTCATTACTCACACTAGCCAAGATATGGAATCAACTTAAGTATCCATCAGTGGATGAATGGATAAGAAAATGTGGCATGTATATAGAATGGAATAGTATTCAAGTTTTAAAAAGAAGGAAATCCTATCATTTGCAACAATATGAATAAAGTTGGAGGACAATGTGTTAAGTGAAATAAGCTAGGCACAGTAATACAAATACAGCATGATCTCACTTATAAGTGAAATCTAAAAACTTGAACTCATAGAAAAAGAGAATAAAATGGGTATCAGCAGCTGGGGGTGAGGGGACTGGGGAGATGTTGGTCAAAGGACAAAAAGTTTCAGTTAGGCAGGAGGAAGAAGTTTAATAGATCTACTGTATACCATGGTACCTATAGTTAATAACACTATGTTGTATACTTAAAAATTTCTAAGAGAGTAGGTTAAATGATGTCTCCCAAAAAAATAAGTCTGAGAGATAATGCATATGTCAAATAGCTTGATTAAGCCATTCTGCATTGTATTGTATACATATATCAAAGCATTATGTTATATACCATAAAGATATATAATTTTTACTTATCAATCTAAAAGCTAATAAATTAAATAAATTCAATTTAAAAATTAATTAGTGTGAGCTATGTCTATTAGCTAGACCTGTTTTTTTTCCTTTGAGAAGTTCTTTTTAAATACATGAAAAGTTTGTGTGTGTGTGTGTGTATGTGTGTGTGTGTGTGTGTGTGTGTAATAGATCCTGACTAGCAATCTTCTAAGGCTGTGGTGGTTAAATTTAGCTAAGAGAAATTGCATTTAGATATTAGGTAGCATTTTAATATGCCTGGATGGGTTTTGAAGGCATTATTCTTTCTCGTGAAATTTTGGGAAAAGAGGTAGATACAGCCTTCCTTGAACAATTATTTATAAATTTGAAGACAAGTAGCTGGACAAGATTTTCTTTCAATGCTAATTTTTATTTTCTAATTCAATGATCATTTTCCTGTGAATACATGTTTTTGCTTAAGCCGAGGTTTATTTTCCAGTTTGTATAGGTAATCCTTCTTAGTTGATCTTAATTATAGCTGTCAAGAGCTAAACATTTCTTTTCTACATCTGGACTAGGAAATGTTTCCAATGAACAATCATTTTAGGATCCCAAGTATCCTAAATTTCTAAAGCTGTATTAGTTTTCTATTACTGCATAACAAATTACAAGAATTTTGATATCTTAAAAAAAAAGACCCATTTATTATTTCACAGTTCTGTAGGTCAAAAGTTTGTTGAGACATGGCTGGGTCTTCTGCTTTGGCTTCAGTAAAATTGTCTGCTGACTATTTTAATACATTTTTATCTTGAGCTTGGGGCTCTTTACAAACTCTTTTCTATTGTTGGCTGAACTCAGTTCCTTGCACTTATAGAACTGAAGTCCCCATTTTCTTATTGTCTGTCTCGTAGGGCTGCTGTCAGCTCCCAGAGTCACTCTCAAATTTAAGCCACATGATTTCCCCCCATTTCAGCAACAGAGAACTTCCCTCCCATGCTGCATCTACTGCCACTAGCCAGACAAAACTCTGAGCTTTTTTTTTTTTTTTTTTTTTTGACAGAGTCCCACTCTGTCACCAAGGCTAGAGTGCAGTGGTGTGATCTCGGCTCACTGCAACCTCCACCTTCCGGGTTCAAGCGATTCTCCTGCCTCAGCCTCCTGAGTAGCTGGGATTACAGGCGCATGCCACCATGCCCAGCTAATTTTTGTATTTTTAGTAGAGATGGGGTTTCACCATGTTGGTCAGGCTGGTCTCGAACTCCTGACCTTGTGATCTGCCTGCCTCGGCCTCCTAAAGTGCTGGGATTACAGGCGTGAGCCACTGCGCCTGGCCAAAACTCTGAGCTTTTAAGGGGCTCATGTGATTGGGTTAGGCCCCTACAGATAATCTCCCTTTTGATGAACCCAAGGTTATCTGATTAGAAATCTTAATTAATGCTGCAAAAATCCCTTTGCCATGTAAGGTAACACAATCATGAGAGTGATGCCTCATCATATTCATAGGTTCTACTCAGGATTAAAAAGAGATTACACGAGAGCAAGCATCATTGGAGATCATCTTAAGAGTTTTGCCTACTAAAA